>NC_000014.9:79157167-79308682 GCF_000001405.40 Homo sapiens
ACCCTTTGGGTCTTAATAAAACCTCTTTTAATATTCAAGGTATAGCAGTGAGATATAAAAATGATTGCATATTGACATATATCTAAATATTTTCACTTTGATTTCAGCATTGAATCAACATCTCTATCAGCTTGTCTTCCTGGAGAAGGATATTTTTTGGAGGTTCTGGTCAAGCTCAGTGGTTACTGAAGCTGTCGGGAGTCTTACCACCTTGGGGTCACTGTGGAAACCAGAAAATAAATGGACAAAGCTGGGATTGCTTTTTGGCTAGTATAATATTTCCAGAATCCCTGAGGCTTGCTTTTAAATCAGCATAAGCTGGTTTTGTGTCTCACTTTTGTGTTGTACAATTACAGAAAGCAGCAAATACTTATCTTGGCATGTCCTGTCATGACATGAGCCAAAAGCTGTCATCCTCATAGATTCCCTGTCTAAGGGAATAGTTGCCCTATCAGCATTTGAAAGAAACACTCCTGAAACCTTTTGGAGACTCTAAAGTTATGTACTGTCATTTGATGGATAAGTGACTCAAAATTCATATTGATCACATCATTTCAAATTCTTACCTGTTAGACTGGTGAGAGAACTCTAGGTACTTTGTTGGGAAGGATGATGGAGAAGAGAGAAGTGAAAATATGAAGGATTACTTATAACAAAAGACTTGAGAAATATTTTAGGCTTGAGAAGCATTTTATAAGGGAAAGATATTTGTGATGGGGACTAGTAAGTACCACTTTTCACCTATTGCCATTTGAAAATTGACTGTTTGCATATTGTTTTTTTCTGAAATGCCGCTATGCAGTCAGGGATGAGAAGGGGATTGTGATTGAGTAAAGATCTTTCTTAGAATCATGTCCTCATTTGTAAATTGTGATTTTCTGTCCATTAAGAAGATAATAATTTCTTTTTCCTGACATGGCCTTGTATTTTTAACTTCTTGCTCCACCCATACTCAAATGCAGGTTGATTTATTCTCCTTTATGCTAGGTGACTTCCCCCTGTGTATACTCTCTTTCAGAAGTATTTCTTTCTATCTCCCTAAAATCAAAACCAATGTTCACCTTAGGTTGTGTAGAAAAGTCTCTGCTAAGGCACCTCACACCTTTCTAAATCACATAAGTTATAACTTATTTATATATTTACTTTGAAGTACCATTCCTGAATATCTAATAGTGAGATTAATGAGTTGGTTAATGTGGTATCAATTTAGGGCAGAAATCATTTTGAGGAACTCATAAATACCTACTATTATGATGTATGAAGCTTCAGGTTTTTATGGCTGCCACTCAAACAAAGAAATATTATTTGGAAGATGTGATTTGATGTTAGTATTTAATCAAATGTACTTATTTCACCTACTTGCTGAATAAGCACCCTTCTTTACTACCATCACTGGTTTTCATATTGAGGTATGTGGATTTATCCTTTATCATTGCTCACCTTTGAAGATGGTGGCATAATTAAAGAATTACAAGGGGATTTCAGAAAGTTGTAGATAAATTGAACTAAAAGATAAAAATAGAAAAAATTTATTTCTCAACATAAGCTCCATCGGGTTCAAGACATTTTTGTAAGCTATGATACCAGTGATTTAGTCCATCCTTAAAGAACTGAAGGTCCTGAAAATATAACCATACTAATGCATTCTTTTTGACATTATTACCTGAAGAAAACTGGGTGCCCTTTAAAGAGGTTTTAAGATTAGGAAACAAAGTTAGGAGGAGCAAAATCAGGGCTGCAAGATGGTTGCCTAATTATTTCCCATCAAAACTCTCACAAAATTGCTCGTGTTTGATGAGAAGAATGAGCAGGAGCACTGTTGTAGTGGATGAGGACTCTCTGGTAAAGCTCTCCTGAGTGGTTTTGTGTTTTTGTTTGTGGTTTGCAAAAGCTTTGGCTTTCTCAAAATACTCTCATAATAAGCAGGTGTTATTGTTCTTTGGCCCTCCATAAAGTCAATGAGCAAAATGTCTTGAACATCCCCCAAAACTGTTGCCATGACCTTTGTTCTTGACTAATCTGCTTTTGCTTTGATTTGACCACTTCTACCTCTTGGTAGCCATTGCTTTGATTGTGCTTTGTTTTTAGAATCATAGTGATGAAGCCATGTTTCATCTCCTGTTACAATTTTTCAAAGACATGCTTCAGGATGTTGATCTCACTTGTTTAAAATTTTCATTTAAAGCTCTGGTCTTGTCTTCAGCTTATCTGAGCACAGTGGTCTTGACACTGATTGAGTGAAAAGTTTGCTCAACTTTAATTTTTCAGTAAGCATTGTTAGTGAACCAATTGAGGTGTCTATGGCGTTGGCTATTGTTCATGCTGCTAATTGATAGTCCTCTCCAATTAGGGTACAAAAAGATTATTTTTTTCTTCAGAAATTGAGTGGATGGTCTGCTGCTGTAGGTTTCATTCTCAACATCATTTTATCCCTTCCTAAAAATATCCATTTTTAAACTGCTGATTTATTTTGGCCATCGTCCCCACAAACTTTTTGTAAAGCATCAGTGATTTTACCATTCTCTCACCCAAGCTTCACCATAAATTTCATGTCTGTCCTTGTTTCAATTTTAGCAGAATTTGTATTGCTCTGATAGGAGCACTTTTAAAACAAATGCCTTTTCTCTTACTCCCTCAAACTAGATCATGTTCAGACATGTTATAACAAGTTAGTACAAGTTTATTTTGCTACAAAGCCAAATAGAAATTTATGCATTTTTTTCTTATATGCGTTTTCCACGAACTTTTGGAAGACCCCTCATATATCCATCTACATATATGGCCAGTGCTAAATCTCAATGGAAATTGAAGACACAGCATTACTCATTGGAATGAAATGGCTTGCAGGAAATTCCCAAAGCTGGCTAGAAAGAGTTGAGGTAACCTCTTCCCTCTTCATGGTTCCAGTATCACCCAAAGCTTTTCCTCCTCAGCACTAAATCTTTGCTGCAATACTCCTTCTTCAGAGGTGCTTATGAAATGGCCTCATTTCAAAGAATGAAAGTTAGGTTGTAGCAGGAATTTTGAAGCCCAGAACTTTAACATAAATAGTTGAAAAGAAGAAAAATAAAAACTCTTTATACAAATTCTTAATCTTAGTTTACTCTGTGTGTTAAATTGTCATTGCCATAATGATTTTAGTCCTTTCTCTGACCTGGATTCTCCCACTCCCCAGCTTTTAAATTTAGTCCATTCTATGTAGTGCCTCTTGTAATTTAGCACATTGTAGGTGCCCCATTAGTTTTGTTGCTTTATTCACCTGCATCCTCACACATCGTGTGATTGTGCTTGCAGAGCACACTGAACTACAACACATTCTCTCACTCTGAAATCTGTCACCATAAAGCATAAAGCAAAATCCTTCCCTCCTTTACTGAATGGATGGCTGGGTGGATAGCTGTTCTTTGCACATGTTCGTGTTGAGTAGGTGCTGTATAAAATCACTTGTTCTTTTTTTAACGTGACTCACGAAAAAATTATCCCAGCTTTCAGTAATCTCAAGGAAAAAAAAACACTTGCCATCTGCAATTTACTGCTTTTAACCTGAAAAATAGGATCTAAAATGATACTCAGATACTTAAGAGGCTTCACGTGTTGTAGGCAGAAGCTGACAGATGGCACATGGTGGTAGGCTGTTGCCTCATAAGGAGGGAAGGCAGAAGCAAGTAGACAGTGGTATGGAAAGCTTCTTGGGAAGAGGTCATGACAACGCTTCAACCAGAGATAATTAATTATTTGCTATATTCTGTAACTAGCCTGTTTATACAAATAGCTGGTGTGCTCAGTACAACATAGCAGTGAATCTATGGAAAAGGAATCTGTAAATAATAATGCAAGGGAACTTCTCTTACGTCTATTGCTAAGGGGATTATCATAGCATTCAATTTTAAGCCATGTAACCTGGAATGCTTACTAAATGTGTAATTCTTGTTCTTCCTCTTCATATAATGCACAGACTTGAATTCCTATATTGAGAGAATAACTTACCTCTTTTAAATAATACCATAATTTGCCTTGAAGGTAGGGAAGAAAGAGAGTGAAGTGGGGAAAATTTCAAAATTCTGTCTTCCAGGGAGCATATTCCTACTCATCTGTGACGTCTAATGTAATAGATTTTGAAGAATTATTTGTAAGATAGATACTTGGAGAAGTTTATACTCACTTCCTAATCCCAGACTATAGAAACTTCTGCATTCTAGAATTTCAGAGAATGTGTCTCTGTCAATTGTATTCTGAAGATAAGATACATTTGACATTTGATTGCTTCAATCAACATTCTCCAATGCAGATCACTAGGCAGAAACATCTTGACACGGCATATATTTGATACACAATGATTATTTGCATTGACTTTTAACAAAGTCCCATTTAGAAAGATTGAAAGAAAAGGCAAATGTGATTGGATGTATGCTAAAGCGTGTTCAGTATGTGTTTTGAAATATCTTTGAAAGTTCCCAGGATGTGGCACGTATCATTCACTTGAAGCTGAAAATCTCTCAGTTGAGCAAAAACAAGTATTTGCTTTGTTCCATGATGCACTCCACGTGTGACTAAAATGGCAAAGTGAAGCCTCTAGTTTGTAGATACTTGCTTTGGGAGACAGGGAGCTGTCCGTCGTCCTGAACGGGTCATGCTTTAATGAGGATAGACACAGGGTGCAAAGGAAAGTGACTGGGATCCCCTGCCTGCACTGACTTTAACAATAAAGATACTGGAATAATGAGATCCCATGGAATTTAGCAAAATACGAGTAGAAACAAGTGGTAAAGACAGCCCAGACTGTAGTTCAAAGTCTAAGAACATCTAAGCTGCGGGTTCAGGTATAAAATTAGGGCCCTGTGGCTTATCTCAAGACAGTAACTTTCAAAGGGGGGTTTGAATAGTCTTTCCAACTGTAGCTACATTACCTGAGGCAATTAGTTTACTTATTTTTTGTTTTTGTTTTTTTTTTTTGTGGTTAGCTTTTCTTTTTTTTTAATTTATTATTATTATACTTTAAGTTTTAGGGTACATGTGCACAATGTGCAGGTTAGTTACATATGTATACATGTGCCATGCTGGTGCGCTGCACCCACTAACTCGTCATCTAGCATTAGGTATATCTCCCAATGCTATCCCGCCCCCCTCCCCTCACCCCACAACAGTCCCCAGAGTGTGATGTTCCCCTTCCTGTGTCCATGTGTTCTCATTGTTCAATTACCACCTGTGAGTGAGAATATGCGGTGTTTGGTTTTTTGTTCTTGCGATAGTTTACTGAGAATGATGATTTCCAGTTTCATCCATGTCCCTACAAAGGACGTGAACTCATCATTTTTTATGGCTGCATAGTATTCCATGGTGTATATGTGCATCCATCAAAAAGTGGGCGAAGGACATGAACAGACACTTCTCAAAAGAAGACATTTATGCAGCCAAAAAACACATGAAAAAATGCTCACCATCACTGGCCATCAGAGAAATGCAAGTCAAAACCACAATGAGATACCATCTCACACCAGTTAGAATGGCAATCATTAAAAAGTCAGGAAACAACAGGTGCTGGAGAAGATGTGGAGAAATAGTTTACTTATTTTTTAAGGCAAGCAAGGTGGGCCTGATTGTTACATGAATTACCAAATCTAATGACAAAGCCAGGTGCCCTGGTACTGAGGCTGTGTCTCCTCTACTCCCCATTTCCTCCCCTTTCCATCACTATTTTCTCCACCCTGCCTATCCTCATTTCTCTTTGCTCCTCCTCTTTTTCCTTCTACTCTCTTCTATCCTCCCATTCTTTTATTTCTCCTCTCTTACATCCCTTCCACTCCCTTTCCTTCTCTTCCTTTTTTTCTTCTCTCTGTCTCTCTGCATGTGTCTGAATTAACTCTTGAGTCAGCATTTAAATTTGGTAATTGAATGTTATGGGTCTTTATGGGCTTCACTTTGGGAGAACTGCTTTTCAAACAGAGAACCTGATAAGTGGTGGACCTTAGGGTTACTTTGACATGTTTACAAAAATAAACTTATCAGTAGTTTTAGAGACTGCCATTGGAGCAATTATAGTCTATGCTCACAGAGGCTTGGTAGGCTTACCACAATCCAACCTCACTCTCCCATCATTGATTCTCTGCTCTGTGAAACAAGTACTGTACTCTTCTTCAAGCCCAGGTGAATAAGGCTTTTCTAGGAAATTCTTTGGGATTATAATAAAATAATTCCTTCTATGAGAAAGGAGAAAATGGTGGCTTTTGGTCTTAAGTAGATTATTTACCATCTCTCTCAAGAGAGATAAACCATAATTCTTAACAAAACCATATTCTAATGAAGTCATTGGTCACAGTGTCTTCTATCCCAAGAGAGATGCAAATTACTAAATTCCTGTCCTGGTACAAATATAAGAAATCCAGTCATGGCCTGACAAGTTTGAATTCCTTCTTGTCCTTGATATACTCTGTTTACCCCCATTGTAATTTATCTCTTCCTTATTCCTCCATATTATTTAATTTAGTAAGCAAATGTCCCCTGGTATAAGCTGTGTGAATATTATAACTGAATTACTGTCTGTTTGCTTAACTCATTACAGAAAACTATGATAAGGTTTTTAATTACAAAATTAGCCCTGCCAAATGAATTTCTTTCATTCAATGAACTGCAAAAGGTGGTACAGTGAGGATAAAAATCATGTCCTTTCCCATGTTATTTATAGTACTTTTTTCTAAAAATAATTGTTATAATAAAAAATAATGCCAACAACAACAACAATAATATTTTCTTCCTCGTCTGTTTTTGTGTGATTCCTTTAAACTGTTAATTCATGCTGAACTTGTTCAACCAAGATTCCATAAAGTAATCCTCTTCAACCTACATTTTATTCTCAGCCTTGTCTTGAACATCTTACTCTGACCTCACTAGCTCTTCACTTACCAATTTGTTTCTCATCTTCTCCTTAATAACCTTATGAATAAGTTTTCTATGTAGTCCCTTGTATTGCTCTTTAGACCTGTCACTTATCACTTCTTCTTCTTAGGATACTCTTCTCCACTGTAATTCTTATGTCTACTCTAACTATATATCTTTGAATTCTTTAGCATACATAAACATATCTGATAAAGCAGGATCAAGCACAAAGATGCTGTATCTTGCCTGCATCCAACAGACTGGGATTATTCTGAGCTCTCAAGCAAAACATGGTTAAATCCTGACAACAAAATGAAGTGACATTTATGCTTACATATATCCTTCCTTGTTTTCTGCATTTTCATTTGAAAAGTAAACATCTAGTCCATTTTGTTTATGTGTCTAATAATCATTTTATTTTACTTTAATTTCTTTGGTAAAAGCTATGGACTATGGCCATTGCAGAATTATCATAATTTCCATGGAGAAACTTCTGACATATTTTACCAAATATTTTTGAAATGCTACACTCACAGTTAAACCTAGAGAGGATTAATTTGGGAAAAGGGACTACTTTATGAAAATGTGGGAAATTATTTCTATTCTTTCCCTTTTGTCATGCCTATTTCCCTAAAATTAGATTATTTATACTATACAAGTAATTAAACTTATTTCAAAATCTAAAGTTAAGAGAAATTAACAGGTCATTGCTCAGAAAAATGCATAGTAATTGTGAGTTTTCTAAGACTGTCACAACATTTGACCAACAGTCTCCTTACTGAAATTTTATGGTTTCTTTCTCTAGACAAGGCCACATGCATATGAAAGCAGACTTAAAATATTTTTACCTATAGCTGGAAAATCAAATCATAAATGGCAAACTATGTATTACTTATGTTATAATTTTGGAGCTATAATTTTGGAGCTATAAATCCAGGATATCAGACTTTTTTCCCACTAATATTGTAGTATTAATAAAAAATTCTCTTAATGTGTTTGCAACTAAATTGGCATTAATTTAATGAATTCTTTCTTTGAACATTCCTCATTTTTAGCCAGCGGTTGGTGGTTGAGTTGCAAATGGTTATTGCCTAGTAAGAGATGGCCTATGAAGAATAATCTATTTCACTGGATCCCTTGGTTAGGAATGTAGCATATGCTTGCCCAGGTCCACTTCTAAGGACCAGGTCTGTTTCTCCTTGCTACTGCCTGAAATAGCATAATAATTAATTCAAAAGTTGGCTGCTTTTCACTAGAAGTCTTTAGGACATTGTAAGACAATTAAGTCTGTAGAAGAATGAGAAGGAATCTTTTATTTGAGGTCTAGAGGTGTCATAACTGTGAATCACAAAGTTGTGGCACAATGCATTCACCTCAGAAAATTTTCTTCATGAAATTAAAGTTTCATTTTGTCTTAAAGAAAAGGTTCCACTCTCATGCGATTTTGTGTGTTCTCATCAAAGCAAGAATCTAACTTCCTGATCTGGTTACTGGGAATCTATGCAGACACACACAATCCAACCTCTGGGGCCTGTTTTGCAAACAGTCTTTATGTCATGATTTAGAATACTGCATAAGAAATTTCTCCTTGAAGAGAGATGACTGCTTTTGACAGTTGGCTTTTCCCAGTGCAGTCATTAGACTGCACATGACTGATGTGTGTGCATGGACAGGGAGGGGTCTTCATTCCCTGGAACTATAATGTCAGGTTTCATATTGTCTGAGATCAGCATCTCTTCAGAAACAACCATGTACTCCTTTCTCCCCAAACCACCTTCCCTCCTGACCATAACTGGTTATATAATCTTGCATCTTCTATTACCCTGACTGCTGATCCGTGCCTGATGGCTATGCCAGGTCTCACAACACCACGAGCTTTTGATTGCTGCACTCTAAGCTGCTTAATAAGACAATTAAAAATGATTTACAAATGGCCATCACAATGCAACTGGGGATCAGGAAGAGAATGTTCTATTTGCTCCAATATTAAAAACGCATGCCCTTCTACAGTTCCTTCTGCAGCTGCCTTTGATTTCAGTACTGGTTTACTCCCTTTTTAGAAATTATTTTTTTGATGAATATCATGTTAAAATAGTTCCTCCTAAATAATGTATAGCTGGAAATAATTCAAGGGATGTGTTACACATGCTAGGTGGTCTGAAATCTTCTTCCCTTTGGTGGGGTAAACACTGCCTAGAATTCTGGAGTAGTTAAAAAGTAGTACAAATGATCTTTCATCATGCCGGCTCCTTCTCAGTTTGAGGGTCAAACCTAATTTAATCACTGACACATCCATCTTGAGCATTTCCTCTTTCCTCCTATTGTTGCATTGATTAAAATGGGCAAATCTCCCAAAGATTCCATTGTGAGTCACACAAACGTTCATCTATAAAAAGTGGAAATTTATCAGAAATGATGACCTTGATATTTTGAATGTAATAACTGAGAAATTCAAGTAGAATCTCATCTAGTATGTGTTGAAAATGCTCATTTTTTGTTTAATTTTGTTTAGTTTTTTTTTCTTGTCCAGAGGAATGAAAATTGATATTGGCCCAAATATTAAGAAGATTCTCTATTTTTAGTGCTGAGACCCAAGGATTAGTAAGATGGGCATTGGCAGGGTTACCATAACTTTTCTTAGGAAGGATGTGTGGAATAGATTTTTTAAAAAGAACCATCTTTGAAGCCAGATATCCCTGTATTTTATTCTTGCCTTTGTTACTTAGTAAAGTGTAGGACTTTGAGCAAGATGCTACATCTATCTGAGATTCCATTTTCTCATCTGCAAAGTGAATACACTAATCTTAACATTCAGATTTGCTATGAGAATTGCATATGGTTATCTTTGTAAATAAAGTGCCTGGCACACAGTAGGTGCTCAGAAAACATTGATTTCTTTTAATCCTCTCATTCAAGAGCACAGATGATAAAATATTTATCACTGTTAGTGGTGTTATCCCTGGTATATCCTGGCAAATGCAGTGAGATACTAAGAAGTTTGATGCTGAAATTACTTTTTCAGCACTAGATTATTACATTTTTATGACAATTTGAAAATTAACCTATCCTATGTGTATCAATAGCCCAGTTTTGTGCTATTTTCAAGTAATATGAATGTTACAGTGATGGTGGCCACATGATATGTTATGAAGGAATTTTATTTACATCAAACTTCCCACAATAGCCTGTTTATTGAATTATCCCTGAAATAAAACCAATAAACCTGTCTTTGGAAACCAGTGACCACTGACCCACTTACATGTTATGGATGGTTTCTTTTCTGATTGCCAGTTAGTGTGATTGGGGTAAGGAGGAGGTAACTAGTGTGACTTTCTTCAGGGCTCCCCTTATACTCTATGTGTCTTCTCTCCCTAGCTGTCTAAAGTTCTCTTCACCTTGAAGAGCCTCCCATATTTAACAGTTTATGATGGATGACCAGCCCACATTAGGGCACTGTTCAAATTTCAGATACTCAGGAAGGCCAATCCTCAGAGTGTTTCTGATCAAAACATTCTTTCTTATCTGTTCTGCTTTTTTAAAATTGCTTTTACTTTTCTTCCTTTTTTTGTTATTCCTACCAGGTTTTGTTGTTATTTTTTTTCTTCAATGATGTCTAATTGCAGGTTACCATTTCATCTGCTACTTTATTTTTTATGCCTCAACATTTGGTCTTCTCACCTCTGGTTCACTTCTCATGGGATTTTCTTCACCTAAAGTTACAACTTATTCTTCCTTGTCAGTCCCACCTCTCTGGAGCTGCCAAAAGCTCCCTCTTGCCCCTACCTGCTTCAGCCAGCATTATCTGCAGATATATCAGGTACCATCTGGGTCCTACCCTTCTCATATAGATCCACCCCAAATCTACCTGCCTTTTCTTTTCTTTCTTTCTTTCCTTGTTTTTTTTTTTTTTTTACCTTCAGGACTTATGATTCTCAGAGAAAAGAGATGGAGAAACCAGCCCATAACTTATCTATCTGAGCTGAAACAGAATCAATGACAATAGTGGCATAAGTATCCAATGATTTTGAGCTAGGCCTTGTGAGTCTCTGACTGTAAGGTCACCCTCCTTATCTCACCAGTGTGCTGAGCCTTACCCAATCCTCAGCATATCACACCCATGTACTGAGTCACTCTGCATCAATCCCACGTTGGGGAAGAGAGCAAATCTATTGGCAGGGGATAATACAGGATGGAATTAGCACAAAGGCTCTTCTAGTACTACAAAATGGCTTTCTTGCCATCTACTTGACCCAGCAAAACTGTTGTGTGATAATATTTACCTTAAAGTTGGTTGTTAGAGGGAGATAGTTGATATTCACATATTAGATCTCAATAGAAAAAATAGATAGTATAGGGGAATATTTTTTACTCCATACCAAACTTAATAATTTACCATTTTCTATGAAAGTGTCTTACATTCTACTTCTGTATTTTAATAACATGTTAAAATTATGATAATTATATGATGTTTTTAAATTTTTTAGGTGCTTTTCTTTTTCTACCATGACAATGCTAAGTTTCTCTTCCTGATTATTCTTGATAATATTCTCCCCCACAAGGCCAATGTTATCTCCTGTTTCTTCCCTCCACTCTACCTAGGCTGGTTTCCTCCCTGTTGACTGTCCTATCATGCGTGTTCATCTTTGTATTCTTCTTGAAGCCTGTGATGACTTTCACTACATTCTCTACCTTCGCAAATGCAGCATTTCCTTCAAAAGTCAGTTCCAAGTCTTTCCTGGACACAAAAATCACCACTTATGTTTCTGTATGTGAAATTTATCATGAAATGTAATACCTAAATTTATAGTATGTGGTATCGTTTCCTGTGCTACTAAGTGCATTACTTTGCCTCCTTCATTAGAGTACAAATTCCTCCAAGTTAAGGGAACATGGAGACTATGGGCACTTCTCTGATTCATGTGATGTTCTCACAATATTGAACATAGCACATGAAAGAATATGTGATTATCAGTTGGTTAGTGGCTGGCTTGCTTTGGATAGTCATTCATTCATTCCTTAATAATGGTTTTCTAGACTGTGGGTTACAGATGCTCCCTTCCATCCTCAGTCACCCTTGAAAATATGTTGAATTACATCTTACACTTTGCCTTAGATTAGCGTTTGTTACTATGAAAGAAAGAAAGATTTTCTGCCTTTCACAGCCTGGATCCTACTCACTGAGACTATAGGCTGTCAGAATGCTACATGCTCCCAGCCCTTTAACTCTTTTCACTCTGCTATGGCCACAACTGGAATACACCTTTTCCTCAATTACAAAAGCCACACAAGATTCTACCTGCAGCCTCAGTACACTTCAACAATTCTCTTATTAGTCCTTTTGTAAACTTACTACCTAAGATTTTGCAGTCCCTTTGATGTCTATATATCTTGCCAATCTATCACTTGAAGGTGCCTGTTTTACTCCAATGACAAAAAAAATCCAATCTAATATTTTTTCACCTTTTCTTTCTCTGCCTCAGAGTTGATAATACTTACCTTTGTCACTTTCGTCTCACCTAGGTCCAGGCATGAGCATAGCCCTGCTTCATTTCAACTTAGCCTATCTTTATGGCCTTCAGGTCTCCTCTCATCTGGAATTGAGTTCTGTAGATTTTGTCCTGTATGCCCATAATCCACTAAATAGTGTTCCCATTGTTTTCAAATATAATTCACAGGGGTAAAGATAGAAAATGTATTTTTTAGGGCTTTTTCTAACAATTATATTTTCCATGGAATGCTGAAGTCCCACAAGGAATTCTGAGGCCCAGGTAAGGAAGAAGAATTAGGGAAGACACACCAGTGGGAGGTTGCCTAGGGCACACCAAACCATTGCAAAAGTATAGTAAATCCAGGCCAATCCACAGGTGAGATTGAGACTACAGAATACATTGTTCTTTGGTTAGAATTGGCTTAACAACAAGTCAATGACCTAAGCTAGGGTAGGCATAAGCTGGCGTGTCTTATCTCTTATGCAAAATTGTAAGTTCTCCGAGAATAGTCTTCCACACTTAGCATATTACTTCTATTACACATTTTAAAAGATAATTTTGATTGTATGGGTTAAGTTAAATGTACTCCATGCTCAACGTTAATTGATGAACACATATCTATTAAGCACTATTGTGGAAAATCTATTTGGTGAGGATACACAGGAACTCCAAGGAAGGGTAAGACCTTTATTCTGCATTCTAGGAGTCTGTAACATAGCTGAGGAGAAGAAACACCCAGTAAAAATGTGTCACTGAAACTTAAACAAATTATTTAACTTCCTTAAAAAGTAGTTTTTAATATGAAAAATGGGAGATTAAAGTTGGTCTTCTAGGTTCCTTAGAATTCTAGAACTCCAAGTAAACTAGATATACATGTGTCCATACTTATGTCAGATGGGTGCTATCCACAGTAGGTGCTACAGTTATGCAGAAAATAAAGAGATATCTGGAAACTGGGGTAGATATACATTCATGGAGGTGTTGGAGTTTGAACTGAGCCTTAAAGGAATAGTCTTGGAAGGAAAAATTATTATCCATCACTGAATAACGTGGGCAAAAGTACAGGGAAAATACATCTCTACTTTTTTTTGTTGTTGTTGGGGCAGGCTTCAGCCAAAAGAGCATTTGGAATTGTCTCGACTTTTCCCTGCTCTAGACTTCTCCTGTCTCTGCACATTTGTTTCTGCATTTTCAGAATCTAGCTATTTTAGTGTACCAAATCTCTTAAAAGGACCTGTATTCATTGTGATACAACCCCTATAGGAACTTGAGATAATCAGAATTTCAAGAGAAAATTATAGTTTCTTGGTGCCTGAACTGACCCAACCTCATGGGTTTAGGATACTAATCAGTGGTTCCCTGGATCAGTTATCTGATCCTGTCACCAATCAAGGACAGGACTGTCACGTCTCAAAATACTACTTTTTCAAGGGGAAGAATATTTCTCCTTTAGTATGTCTCAGCGGAGGTGGAAAATGCAAATAACCTTTTTAGGAGCCCTTTAAACACATAGACTCCTCACTTAGGGCCCAATTAGTAGGAACAACCAACCTACTCTACAAGGTTTTACTCTTCCCTTGAAATTACACTTCAAAAAAACATGCACTGACTCCCCCCAGGCATAGAAGCAGGATCCGTGTTTTAATTCTAACCTTAATTAAATCTTTACACAAACTCACTATTTGGCTGTCCAATGAAGAAGGGCAAGTAGAAGGAAGGAAGTGAAGAGCATTTGCTCTTCCTCTGTCTTCCGTGAGGGTTATATACCCAAAACTCTCTGTCTTAATTTGGAATAGGGGGAATTAGATTTTGTCATAAAGTCATAAGAGTTGTGTTATAAGAGTACGTGTATACAGTAGTTGAAATGAGTGCCCAGAAATCTTCCTAGTTTCTTCCCCACCTGTCATGGAGTTTCATTGTATTACCTTGCACTTAACAAAGCCAAATCATTGAAAGATACAGTCCCTCCATGAACAACAATCAATTCTGTAACTGATCCTTACCCATCTATTTCAATACCATGCATAATGACACTATCCTTTGGAATGCAGGGAAAAAAATTCCAAATGACAATTTGTCTTAAATGTAGACAGTGCTTTAAAATATATGCCTGATCATAAGAGTGGATATAGTATTTAAGTGTGTCAGAACTTTCTTGCTCTTCTACCTTCCTCCTTTTTGGTTATTGTTGAAAATATATGGGGAAAAAATGGCAAAAGAAATAGGCCCTACATCTGAATTTTAAGTTCCTGTTTTTTGAGAGAAAGAAATATTTTGTTTATTTTATTTGTTTTTTTTTTCTTTCCCATTAGTAAAATAATTCCAACTAAGGTAAAGTTTAGTGGAACTAAACTTTTACTGTGTGCAACTCTGACTTTCAAGAGTAAAAGGAAAGTAAATGTAATACCCCAGTACACCTAAAACCAGGATTAATGTTTTACTTTATCTTGCAACAGTACTAAAATTAAAAGCAAAACAAGACACATTTTAGATATGATACAGTGAGCACTAGAGAAAACCTCTTTTATTGATGGGAGCATATTTTAAAATATCTTCTCACCTTTAGTCTTTGGGTTAGTCTCAGTCCCTCTGCATAGGGAGCAAACAATACATGAAGAACTATTTGGGGGAAATTGCTATAAAGAAACAATAACTTGCTAGGGAAAAAAAAAACAATTAACTGTGAAGCATGTATCCCTGAATCTGAATCATGGCCATAATACTTATTAGTCCCCCAAATTTGAGCTTCCATTGCCTTACTTGTAGAATGGAGAAAAAAAATTCCTCTTGAGGTGTCAGTAAAAGAAGATGAATGTATCCCTCATGTTTATTCTGATCAGATTATTTTTATTTTTTGCCTTATGGCATTTACCTTTAACAATTTTGAATATCTCTGAAAGAAAGGGAGAAAGGATGGAAGGTACGAAGGAGGGTGAAAAGGAAGGAAGGAAGGAAAGGTCTTTGTTTTCCTTACCTGGCACAGCTAAATATTGGCAAATCACAATAGATAGCAAAAATCTAAAATACCTAGGAGTACATTTAACAAGAATTTATATTTTTAAACTATAAAAATGAATAAATACTATCTAAATCAAAGACTATGGTTTTGAGTGGTGACAATTTAATATCAAAGTAATTCCCCACTACATTTCTAAGTAAAATCTCCCTCTGGTGTCTTTTTCTTAATTTCCCAGTGTTCTTAAAATTCCTATGGAAGAATAAATATCTGAGGATAGCCAAGGAAAATATAAGTAAGAAGACTTTGAGTAAGAACTATGCTTTATAATTCTAATATAAAACCATTGTAATAAAAAATAATGTATGAACCTGGCATGAAAAGTGGGCAAATAGATTAAAGGACAAGAATTGTAGCTCAGAAATTTTCCCCAGCATACATGGAAATTTAATCACTTCCAAAGCTGTTATCACAATTTAGTGGAGAGATGGAAAGTGTTTTTTTGGCAAATGGTAGAAAGATAACCAACCATCCATATAGAAGAAAATAATGTTGGTGCCTATCTCACATCATAAACAGAAATAAATTCCAAGTGAATTGAAGACTTAAAGTTTAAAAAATTATTAAAAATATTGGAAGAAAATTTGGACTAGAGATACAATCTAGTGATTGGTTGAAACATTGCTAACCAAAACAAGAATCCTATATGCTATAATCTTAAGAGAAAAAAGGTCAACATATAAAAAGTTTAAGAGAAATTTAGGCCAGGCACGGTGGCTCAATCCTGTAATCTCAGCACTTTGTAAGGCCAATGTGGGAGGATCACTTGAGCCCAGGAGTTGGAGACCAGCCTGGGCGACATGATGAGACCCTATCTTTACACAGGCACACACGCACATAGCTGGGCATGGTAGTGTGTGCCTGTAGTCTCAGCTATTCAGAAGACTGAGGTAGGAGGGCTGCTTGAGCCAGGAGGTAAAGGCTACAGTGGGCCGTGTTCATGCCCCTGCACTCCAGCCTAGGTGACAGAGCAAGACCTTGTCTCAAAAAAAAAAAAAAAAAAAAAAATTACAATAAAAGATATCATTGCCAAATTCAATATGTAAATTATATATTTGGAAATGTAATAAAATGTGTCCATGAGAATTACAAGTAGTTATAACCAAAAACCCAAGTAACTGTGGCTTGGACAAATTAGGTGTCTTAATTTTTGACATGTAATAAGAAGTTGGAAGGTAGGCAATCCAGACCTCATACAATGACTCCATGTGGTAATCACAAACTGAGCTCATTCTACCTGTCTCCTTAGCTGTCCTGACTATATAGGCTTTCATCCTCATATTTGTCACTTCATGTTCACTGAATGGCTTCTCCACCTTAAGGCAGGAAATAAAAGAAAACAGGAAGGTGAAAGCAAAAAATGTATATGTGGGCTAAGTTTGTATCTTTTAAAAGAAGAGACCCAGAAGTCTCTTCTAGTAAATTATGGTTATATATCTTTATCCATAAATGTGTCTATCCCAGTTGCAAGGACAACTGGTTAATATGATTTGTTTTGTAATTGTTTTTGTTTCTCTAATCTGGGCATATTTGCAACTTTAGCATTAGAGTTATTTTACTATGGGGAGAAGGGCAATATTAATTCCAGAAAGGTGGCTAGCAGTGCCTGCCACACAAATGAAGGTAGCGTTAATGTCTAGACTCTACCTAAAATTTTTGCAAATTGATAACTGAGGAAAACAACCCAATAGAAAAATTGGTGATAAATATGAATAAACAATTCACAGAAGAAAAAATTCAGATTATCCTTAAACCAATGAAAAGATGCCCAACCTCCTTCATCGTCAGACAATTTCAAATTTAAGTAACAATGAGATGTTTTGTATTCATATGATTGGCATGAATTTAAAAGTGTGGTAACTCCTATTGCCGTTTGAGATGTAGAAAAATTTTAAATTGTTACAGCTTTTTTTTAAAAAAGATTAACTTTTGAATGGCAGTTTCTATTGAAAGTTTTATATATATATATATATACACACACATATATATGCTTTGATCAGAAATCCTAATTATGAGACTCTCATAGAAATAAAAATACCAGTATCTAGCTATACATACCCAATATTGCATCATATTTTGCGGTGGTTTAAAAAAAAAAAAAGAGGAAAGATTAAGTAAATGTTCACTAATAGAAAAATGGAATTAAGTAAATTATAGTAAATCCCTATCAGGGACTATTATGCAGTCATTTTGCAGAATGGACTTGATCTGTCTTCATCTAAAGCAGATGACTTAGAAATATTTCCACAATGTATTGTTAAGTGAGGAAATGAGATAGTAATGGAGAAAGATAAGAATGATGCAGGTTATTAATCTGGGTGGCCAGCGCTTGGAGAGAGGAAGGGGAGCAATAGGGGAATATGGAATGGGGAAAGCAAAAGAAATCAAATTTTAGATATGTACACAAGTAAAATAACTTAGAATTCAGATTTCCTTTTTTTTTTTTTTTTTCTGAGGCGGAGTCTCTCTCTGTTGCCCAGGCTGGAGTGCAGTGGTGCCATCTCGGCTCACTGCAAGCTCCGTCTCCCGGGTTCACGCCATTCTCCTGCCTCAGCCTCCCGAGTAGCTGGGACTACAGGCGCCCACCACCATATGCGGCTAATTTTTTGTATTTGTACTAGAGACAGGGTTTCACTGTGTTAGCCAGGATGCTCTCGATCTCCTGACCTCGTGATCCGCCTGCCTCGGCCTCCCAAAGTGCTGGGATTACAGGCATGAGCCACCGTGCCCAGCCCAGATTTCTTTTTTAAAAGACCTGAAATAAGGAAGAGAAATCATAGCATAAACTAAGTTTAACAAGATCAGTGTGGGATAAAGAACAGAAGATTGAGAATTTTTTTGGAGCTGTTCCTGATTAGATGTTAGAAGATTTTGGTTATCACCAATCCTTTTCAGAGAAAAATTTTATAAACTTACAAGTATCCATTGCACGTGCTTTACATTTGTTTTATATCAATATGACTGTAAACTTTATAGAGATCTTTTTAATACATGAATAGGACATCTTATTTTTAAGGCAGGTAAATGTGCTTTTTCTCACTTCAAACAAATTATGTCCACAAGCTGAATAATGAGAAGGGTACTTCATAGTGTATCACACTGCCGAATTACACGTTCACTGTTTTCATCCTTGAAAACCGTGGGCTGCTTCAGAGTGGGAAACAGTCTTCACTGCTTATAACTGAGTTCCAGAATTTTCCCAGCCATCTGATTCCCAAGCCCAGAGCTTCGGCTTCTGGGTTCTGTTGCTGGCAGTGAGGAAGTGGGATAGCACATTGTTTAAATCACAGCACTTCTCTGTTTCCTGGCTAAGTTACAAAACAGTGTTGTAGTCGTGAAACTGAATATCATCAGCACACATTTGTGGCATGCACAGAGCATGCACGACTCTGTAGTAGCGCTCTAGGCAAGCTTATGATGGCTTTTAAAAGAGGTGTTGTTGCTTCCTTTAGGAAGTTTATGAACTAAAGGAAGACAAAAACCAAACCAAACCAAACAGAAAGCAATGCATTGGACTTTCCATCACAGCAATTACATGTCTGATTCTGGGCTTTGTGCCTATTAATACTCAGTAATATCCATTGAATATGTGAACGAACCAACCACGTTAACAGGAACTGTACTGTTATAGCAATTCTTAACTGGAAGTTTTGTCTTCTGCCTCACTCCACTAGAATCTATCTCCATCCAGTTGAATGCAAATCTGATAATATTTTTTTCCTATGGTTTCCAGATAGCTTTAGGAATCAGAAAGAGGCACTGATTGTAAACCTGAAAGTGTGCTTTGTGGAGCCTGCATGATGTTTTAAATAATTGAATTAGAATGCCTTTTAATGAGCGGCACACTCTCTAGTTTTCCCACAGAAAACCTCTAGCCTATGGTGTTGAATAGGTGATCCCCCAGCTACAGGATAAAATCCCAACTCCTCAGTGATGTACAGACTCTTCCCACTTTATCCCTTGCTTATTATTTCAGTCTTGAGTCCCACCATTTTGCTATATGCAACCGGCACTCTAGCCATGCTGGATTGTTTGCTGTTTCCTGAATATGCTGTGCTCGTTCAGTCCTCTGCAAATGTACTTATGCTACTTCTTTCTCCTGAATTGCTTATTCTGTCTCATTAACCTAGTGTACTCCCTCCTACCCATTCATGTTCAATTAAAATATTACTGCCCTCATAATATCATTTTTAACTGACCTAGAAAAACAAGTTAGATATTCACATCTTCAATATTCCATCTATTTATCAATTGTTGCACTTTTTATATTGATACTTATCTGACTCTTCACCCATCAGAAAGATGGAGTTCTCTCTTTGTACACCTTGCACCTATCACTGGCTTCATCACAGGATCCCTATCACAGTCTTTTTGATGAAGCATTGTTGGATGGATAGATGGATGCATGGACTAGGTGATAAATGAATGATGAACCATTAAGTGAAATAAGGAGTGTGGTATAGACTTGGAAAAGAAAAGTTACTGTTGAAATAGCTCTAGAGAAAAATATTTTTTAAGAGTTGTATAGGATAAGATGAAGGTGAGGATGACTTATCTATAATTTTATCTTTGGAAATTGTGAGTTAACATTTGTAAACAGGGTGGATATTTTGGAGAGAAGGTGCTACATAACTACAGCACAATTATTTATTATCCTCTAAAATAGTCCCTTTCTTTGGCATGTTTAAAACCTAAAGTCTGGTTGGCGTTATAAATATGCATGAGCTGTTGGGGGAAGAGAGCATAAAGTGTGAATCACACTTCAAACAGACCCACCCGCTCACTCCCGACTTCAAGTTTTTCAGAAGTGTGAAATGAAAATGCTTTAAAATTAGAAAATGTGCCATCAGAACTTTTATCAGCCCTCGGAGAAAATAAATAATCTCTAAATGTGGGGAATGCTGGGGATATTTATTTAGTTAGTTTCACAGCTAAGATGCTTTGATAAATTTTTGTGTCATAAAATGCACAAATTAATTTTAATGAATGTGGAAACAAATAACTTCTAAAACAGCCTGAGTACCCAAGGCTGCAATCTAGGGTTTCTGAGGGATTATTGAAACCTAATCTATGGACAAATTGTCTCAATGGGGAAAAGAAACTCTTACAGGTGTCTTTCCCTCTGATACATTTGCATTTGAAGGGTGATCTTGTAGCATTTGAGGAGTGGGTGAATTTCTGGAAAGAGACACTTGGATCTTAAATTGCTAAATGGTAACGAAAATGAGAGAAAATAGTACAGTTAGCTGTTTGCTTTCGAGTTTGTGGAAAGTGATTTTCTAATCAATGTTACTCTTGATTTCTTAAGCATAACAAGATTAAAATGAGTGTGAATATAAAAGATCATGATAAAAGATAAAGGATGATGACCTGAGATCTTCTTTATTTTTTATTACTAATTTGTTTGAAGAATAGTCCATCATTTCCAGTAACTTTTTGACCAAAAAAATGGCTATGTGGTTGTTGCCATCAAGGCCAGTAATAGAGAAGAGGGACAAAGAGAGAGGTGCTCCATTGGTATCCTCAACCTGTGTGTAGTACATAGGCATCACTGGGTGGGCTGGAGCTAGCCCAGATGGCTGGGCTCCACCCAGGTTTCCTGATGCAGTATGCCTGGGGTTGGGCAGCCTGAGTTGCATTTGTCATACCCTCCCAGGTGATACTGATGCACACTTTGAGAAACACTGCTCTGTTCCAATACTTACATGCAATTTTTTTAAAAAAATTATGTAATGACCATCTGTGGTTAAATGCTGAGCTCATTTTATAAACCTTAAGCGTCTTGGCAAGTGTCTCTGTCTTTTTTTTAATTGTCTGATAATTTAAAATACCATTTTATTAGCCTACTATTGTGGAAGTTGAAACTCTATTATATTCACTCTGTTATTGTTAACCACCTCACATTTTCTGTGGTATCGTAGAACAGAAATTGTTCTAAAGGAATGGAAAAACAACATTTACTTTCATCAAATTGTTGTCTAGCCTCTTGATTGAGTTATAGCTATTGTTACTAATTTATTGCTAGTTTTTACAACATGCCCATGATTTTTTTCTGTTTCAGACTGAAAGTAAATCTGAATAGATGAAATCTAATTTAAGTACATGCTGTTAGGTTCTGTGTTTTGGGGGATAGATTAAAAATACAAGAGAAAGCACAAGACAACATGATCTCTCACATGTATACATATGTTCAACTGCATGTCTTTTGTTGATAATCTCCAAAACATACATATTTTGACTTCAGTACCATACCAGATACTGGAAACCAAGTGATAAGATGACTTTACTCTGGGATGTGAATGTCATTGAGTCAGCAGCTTTCTACCAAATCATTAATCTCTGCCCAGGTCCAAATTGCTTCAGTGATTTTCCTACCACTCAGCATTTTCCTTGGTGAAGGACCCTTCCAATACAAGTCTTCTGGCTTTTCTTTCTACTAGAGGGAAGGCTTTCTCTCAGCAGCTATTTCTAAAATGAGGCTGATGATGAGAGTGATAGATGAAAAAACTCATCTCTGAGGTTTGTCTTCTTCTTGCATCTGCTGATAGCACTCACTTCTCAGCTCCTCTTTATACCTAAAAGATGTGCTTCTCTATTATTTCAATAATTCTGATGCTGCTCATTCTTTACTTATTTTCAGAGATGTTTATGAGATTTCAAGCTCCTTAACTAGACATATACAAAGAGCAAGAAAACAACAACAACAAAAAATTCTCCCTGGTCTTTTCTGGAACTAACAATAGAATACTTGACCAAGAACCAAGATTGCAGACTATCTCAGTGTTAGTGGAACCATTTCACTTCTCGATGTTTTCTTATAAAACACACAGTTTGAGCTGTATTGTTAATCTACTTGGAAAGATATTATCATTTTTTAAAACAAATATCTGCTGGGTGAGTGTTAGGCAATGGCTCTCAAAGTGTAGTCCCAGGACCAGCAGCATTAGCAAATTCCCAGTTCCCACCTCAAACCTGCTGAGTCTGAAACTCTAGGGGAGGAACCCAGCAATTTGCGTTTCAACAAGCCCTCCCAGATGATTCTGATGTTATAGCAATTCTTAACTTGCTTAAGAATTTGGAAAGTCTTACAAATAAGGGCAGGACTGGGTGGAGAAAATGGAGAGGTCTGATTATCTTTCATGTAATCCCCACATAATTTGGTGTCTGCAGGAGACACTTTTATTTGTTTGCTATAAATAACTGGGAGCTTGCCAGTGGTGAAGAAGATATCCAGAGAACATTGTGAATATATACTTAGTTTCTCCAACCTGGACAGACCAGGAGCCTTTATGTCAAGATCCTGCACGGATAATTCCCCTCAGGTGGAGAGCTGGTGGTTTTTCCAAGCACCCAGCCACAACTGCCACTGCATTCTATTTCTTTAATGCTCAATCAGTGCCCCTGGCCATTTGATGATCATTCCTCCCTAATGTTGTGAGGTATTTAGTCCAAATAGTACAATCCATGTTTGCTTTCTTTCTCTTCTAGTAAAATGTATAGGTTGCTGTAATAGCCTGTGTCTGCCCCAGACCACAATCATAAAAATAATAATAAATTACCTCGCTGTCTCTGGGTTTTCTTTCAGGCTCAACATGTGGTTTGTGGCTTATGGGGTATTGATTGTGCATTATCAGTTTAGCTCACACACTGACAATTACATGTAGCGCCAAGGTAGCCGTGACAATGTAGTCCAGTTGCCATAGCAATGAAAGAAGGCCTATTGCTGCTACCTGCAACCTGCTTTATAGTGATAAACGTGCTGCTTATTTCATTTTAATTGAAATTTGAAATCATAGTCTCTAGCAAGAAATAAATGGACTCATTCCCCATTTTTCCCCCTTGGCCACACAAAAACAAGTATTAGTAGGAAATATCTGAGCATTTTTAAAAAGTAAATATCAAATTTTTGACAGTATGTTTTCCAGTAGTTTCACTGGTACTAGAAACAGATGAAGAGTGATACTTTGCTGAATAAAAATTGAATTAGCTCTCATGTTTTTGCATTCTTAATTAACTGCTATTTTTTATTTCCCTAAGTCCCTCATCTTAACAGCTTACCCTGCATGGTGTACTTTATATAACAGAGACTTTAATGGATTTACTTGCTGAGTTTAGTTCATATCTAAAAACTCACAGCAGATATCATAAGGTACTTGAAAATTAGAATCACAGGGCGCTGTGGAAGCTTTTACATAATTGAAAAAATTGATAATAATAATAAATATTTAGCCATGTACGGTTTCACTTCTATGCCAGTGCCTCATCTATGCCTCAGACCTAATAATCTTTATGTGACGTCATTACTACGTACTACAGTCATATACAATCTATAGTGCTATATGTAGCCAAGAGAGAGAGATACTGTGAAATATGGTCAGGAATGAAGAGATTCTATGTCAGTCAGTCCAAAAAAGATAGAAATTTAGTACAGAAAACCAACCAACTATGGAAATGAATAGTAAGATAGTAACTAAATATGTATAGATGTGTGTATATGTATGTGTCTGTGTGCATATATATATATATATATATATATATGCACACACACATAGGCATGAAGTGCCAAACTATTTTTAAAAGTATGAACTTGGTCTATAAAGATTCTAAATAGGTCAGTGGAAGACTGGGTCAAATCTGAGATTCCACTTTGACCTTTTGATCTTTATCTGAAAGAAGTCAGATGATTTCCCTTTTCTGGTACAAGCCTGTAAGTTAGCACAACATTTTATTTCCCTGGACTATGTGAAGTATATAGTAGATATTTAGGACAGAGAGAAACCTATGGTGGGGAGTAAAATTTAACTAGGGTAATATAAAATATAGGATCTCCCCTTAAAGAGCTTATGATGACATGTGGCTGGGCACGGTGGCTCACGCCTGTAATCCCAGCACTTTGGGAGGCCAAGGCAGGCGGATCGCTTGAAGACAGGAGTTCAAGACAAGCCTGGCCAACATGATGAAAACCCGTCTCTACTAAAAACACAAAAATTAGCCGGGCGGATGAGGGTTCCTATAATCCCAGCTACTTGGGAGGCTGAAACACGAGAATCGCTTGAACCCAGGAGGCGGAGGATGCAATCAGCCAAGATCGCGTCACTGCATTCCAGTCCTGGGCAACAGAGTGTGACCCTGTCTCAAAAAAAAAAAAAAAAAAAATCTTATGATAACATGAAAACTTATTTTTTTATAAAGTGACCTCAGAAAATGTGCACAGGGTGGGGCATCTCATGTGAAAAGCATCTCAATCATTGATTCCAGCCACATGCCATCATAAGCGCTTTAAGGAGAGATCCTATATTTTATATTACCCTCATTAAATCTTACTCCCCACCATAGGTTTCTCTCTGTCCTAAATATCTGCTTTTAGAAGGAGTAAACATGACTTGGGAATTAGATGGCTCCCATCTGTGAAAATGGATTCTTACCAGTGGTGTTTTTTGGGTGGTTGGGTTATAATAAAAAGGAAAATATTATTTCCCTTATATTTTAGTCTTTCTTCTTACTCCTAGTTATAATCATGGTCCTCCAAATAATTATGATGATAATAAAATGATCAATATCATGTTTAATTTATTTTATGTCCTTATTAATACTTACTGAGTACCTAGCATGTGTGAAGACGATATTCTAAGTCAGCAGTCCCCAACCTTTTGGCACCAGGGACCAGTTTCACCGAAGATAATTTTTCCATGGACTGGGGTTGGGGGATGGTTTGGGGATGATTCAAGTACATTACATTTATTGTGTAATTTATTTCTATTATTACTATACTGTAATTATATAATGAAATAATTATACAACTCACCATAATGTTGAATGAGTCGGAGCCCTGAGCTTGTTTTCCTGCAACTAGATAGTCCCATATGGTGGTGATGACAGACAGTGACAGATCATCAGGTATTAGGTTCTCATGAGGAACGTGCAACCTAGATCCCTAGTATGCACAGTTCACAATAGGGTTCACGCTTCTGTGAGAATCTAATGCTGCCACTGATCTGACAGGAGGCAGAGCTCAGGCAGTAATGCGAGGAGTGGGGAGCGGCTGTAAATACAGATGAAGCTTTGCTTGCTCACCTGCTGCTCACCTCCTGCTGTGTGGCCCCAGTTTCTAACGGGCCACAGACCAGTACTGGCCTTTGGCCACGGGTTTGGAGACCCCTTTTCTAAGTGTTAAGACAAGACTTGGACCTTCATGGAACCTATATTCTAGTAGGATTAAGACAGGCATTAAACAAGTAATTACACAATAAATTACTTAAGTTCAATTATAATGAAAAATACTAGATTCTACAAGAAATTATAAAATCTACTATAAAATTCTTTAGTGTTGTTAGCAGATAATTTACTCACCATTTAAAAATTATATCATTGATTAAATCAATTTTAAAATGGGAAGTGACTTTGAGAAACAGACTTACTACAAACAGACACATAAAGAAAAATCTGGTACATGTTAAAGAGAAATATTGCTATAAAATCAGAATACATTATATGAAGTCTACATTTGAATTATGCCATGTGTCAAGTTTGTTAAGCATATAGGTAAGATGTAATTATTATTTTGCTCTTGATCTACTTTTATTTTTTATACCCTTAATTCTAAACCTTTGGATTGTATTGAACTTTAAAATACATATATTTGATTCATTTAATTTTAAATAATTGAAATTATTATCAAAACCTCATTGCTCTGCTTGAAGCAGTAGCTCTACTTCCCTATACTTCAGTTTTTCATGTGTTATAGCAAGATCTGTACTAGAATTAGCCAGTTCAACCCAACCACATCTTTCTGTTTCGTCCTTGCCTTGACTGTTAATTAGCTCAGTGGATTTTTATGTCATGAATGCATTTGTTTTCTAATACATCTTCATTTTAATGTAAGATGGTTGAAAAGAAGGACCAAGTCCTCTGAGAACCCCATAGTACAAAGTAAAATGCCTCACATCTGACAAATGCTCAGTAAACATGAGTAGTGGGAAATCTTGATTATATGCTCATTAAAAATATATCTATGTATTTAAAGTAGTAAGTCTGGTGTTCAAAAGGTAAAACCTTCAAAATTCTAACACAGTTCTTGTTTGGATTAACTCTAGTCTATAATCACAACTCTTCTGTTTCCTTGTCTGCACTGTGCTCACATAATGGCTATGTCTCTTACCGCCAAAGCCCGGCTCACTGCTTACAACGGCATCCTGTTTCTTCACCTGTTTTTCTTTTGCTTACCTGACAAGCTCTTGCATTCATAAAAGTCGAAAGGATTCCAGCTTAACGTTTCAATCCCACAAAGTTGACTTCCATAGCGTAGCCTGGAACACCTTGTCTGTGAATAGATATGGAATCCTCAAATGGTTTTGAAGCCACTACCAGCAACAGGTCTGAGATCATAGGACCCAAGAAGAAAATTGAGGCTGGGGAACCACAGAGAGTCTTTCCACAATTCAAAGTAATAACAAAGCAGCCACAACAGCAGAGGTGGGGAGAGATGTAGGCATCAGATTGCCTAGAGCTCTAACAACCTACCCTCCACATAGAAGCTGCTCTCTGCTTCAGGCTTCAGATCCTTAAATATGGGTGGGGTCCTTCATTTAGTGTCAAAGAATTGATTAGAAAGCTCCTGCAATGTAAGCTCATTAATGAAACCATTTTGGCAGGCCAGATGATATAATTAGCCCAAACAAGATATGAAATCTACAGTGTTTTGGGCAACTGTTCAGTAATTTTTAATTTTGTAATAAAAAAGACAAGGAAAGGAAACAGCAAGAGAAGATGATTCATGCTTATTGGTGAAAAAGAATAAGATATAAAGAAAAAGATTCCAAGATAACATTTGCTAGATGTGGATAGTACCTTCAGGTTTCCATCATCCTTCTGAAGACAGTAGCATTTACAAAAACTGTATCATCTCTACCTTTACAAAAGTAGGTGCTATGTCAATAGTGTGTTTATAGGATGCATGGATATTCTTCAAACCAAAGTATAATCACAAATTCTGGTCTCGTCACAGACATTCATTTAAGGAACATCTCCCTCCCCTGCCCCCATGCTAACCTGAGCTTTCTGGAGGATGATAAAGGCGACCTGAATAATGAAGTACCCAAGTCTCACTACTGAGGCGAGTCAGGGGTAAAGAGTTTAGCACTGAGTGGCTGAGGATACGTATCAAGGGAAAATGTCATCCTTGGGACTTCTCTTTAAATACCAGAATATGTTTTGTTTTGTTTTGATTTGTTTTCCTATCAGGGATGTGTCTTTATTGGCAATCCCTAATGGAAATTGCTCTCTAATTTTCCTCTAGTCTTCTTATTTGTATTGTTTGTATATGAAAAGATGAGATGAATAGTTAAGGGTACTGCACAAATACTTTGCTTGGTCCTATAGGCTCTCAGGTTTTTTTGATATCATGTGGCATTTGTGTCAAATTGAGTTGTGCTGTAATTTTATTAACAAGCTTCACATCTCAGAATATTTTACAGAGATGCACCTAACACAGTTGACATGTTGTCTATTAAAAGTTACATCATCTTAAGAAGTTATTAGTCCTTTTAAACATCATTTTCATTCTAATAAGCTATTTTTTATTTCTAATAAGCTATTTCTTATTTCTAATAAACTATTTTTTATTTCTAATAAGCTCGTGTCTTGAGCAGAAACACTAATACCCAGGAAATTTTCTGAGGACTGGCTCACTTAAAATGAAGGGAAGTCACTCCACGCTCTGAGTTGTCTTCTCTCATCTTCTTCATGTGAAATCCTGGACACTTGCAGATTCATGACAATTCAGAGATTATTAATCCAATTGCTTTTAATAAAGACTGTCCTGAAAGATACACATGGTGAAACATTCTAATTGTAAAAGATTCATAGAGCAAACAATTCTGTAACATCTATTTCCATATGATTTGAGCAATTTCACACTTGGGAATTTTTTTTTTTTTTTTTAGATGGAGTCTTGCACTGTTGCCCAGGCTGGAGTGCAGTGGCACAATCTTGGCTCACTGCAAGCTCCAGCTCCTGGGTTCACGCCATTCTCCTGCCTCAGCCTCCCGAGTAGCTGGGACTACAGGCGCCCGCCACCACGCCCGGCTAATTTTTTGTATTTTTAGTAGAGACAGGGTTTCACCATGTTAGCCAGGATGGTCTCGATCTCCTGACCTCGTGATCCGCCCACCTTGGCCTCCCAAAATGCTGGGATTACAGGCGTGAGCCACCACCGTACCCGGCCCATACTTGGGAATTTTTACTACAGCTGACTGAAATTTTTTATTTGAATCCTATTTTATATATGAGGATACTATTTCTTCTTTACAGCATTAAATTTTCTAGATTAAAAAATACTCATTTCCCCCCAAGATTTTATAAAATAATTTCTGGCACTTCTCTAGGTTTTCTAGCTGTATGCTATTTTGAGATGACTTGGAGTCAAACTGTCTGGGTTGAATCAAGGCTGTCCCCACCAGTTACTGTCTGTCTGACCTTGAGAAGTTATTTAACCTCTCAGTGTGGAGATGTTCATGGTACATATCTCATAGGGTTTCTGAGTGGATAAAATGTTCTGATACATGCAAAATAGTTAGAATAGTATTTGCCTGGCATACCTTAAGCACTCAGTAAATTATAGCCATTCTATTTTATTCCATTCCATGTTAATGGTTCAACATGAAATAGAATTGCATCCAAACAAATCGTGACGTCAAGGGTGTTACCTGAAAAAAAAAGGTGTTTCTTACTTAAATATATTAAGTAAATATAGGGTTGTGTACAAATTTTAAAATTTTGCTTTACTGTGGGACTTTTAGACCTTTTCATATATAAATATGTATTGTGTATATCCAACGTGGCTAACATGCCATGTCTCTCTCTTTTTTATGAATCACCCACTAACATCTCCAGTGAATCAAATTTGGAAACAATGGGCAGTCACAATAAGATACATGTCTGAAAACCCAAAGTTGATTTTTTCATGCTTTCAGTAATTACATTGAAGTTGTCCCAAAGGCAGAAGAAAGAAAAAGAAATCAAGTCTCCAAAATTTCTCTATCCTTTAGAAAGAAACTCCACCTTAATTTTTGGTGAGGAGTAACAGATCTCACTTGGGTGGTAGTTACATTTTGTGATGTGAGGGTGTCAGCTTTTTCTCCAAGGATGACCTCCCAAGAAGGGCAGGGTCACTCACTTCTGCTACACTTCCCAGCTGTCTCTTTTGGCTTTGCACATTCCTGTCTCATGACTCTACAGGGAAATCCATGATGTAGATTTTCCTGTATTCAAGCAGGCAAAGATACGGGTCAAACATTTAAGGCCGTTAACAAGAAGTTAAATCAGCAACAACATTTATATAGAGGCATTAATTCAGGGTGAACGCAAAATGTGTTGCAGCATCGATTCTGGCATTTTTCTCTGCTCCTAATAGCTCTGAGCATTTGATCTATATGTTATATGGACCTAAATGAAGGGAAATAAACATCTGGACAGATTCCTTCCAATCGAGTTTCCTTCTTACCATTTTTCTGCTGTGATAGTTAACCAAGGCCATGGGCTTCGTTCACCTAGAACCAGCCTAAAATTAAGGATGCTGGCCAGAGTACCCAAGTGTGATGCTTGTAGCATTTAAGCATACAGATAAATTCTTTTTGAAAAATTTCAAACAAGTGTACCATGAGCGGAGTCAGAGCCCCTCTTGAAAGCAGGTTGGTAAATTTCCAGAACCACTTAGCAGTTTTCATAGGTGGCAAGGCATTGTATTGTTATTTTTATTATTGTTAGGAGCTAACATTTGTTTCCAGGAACTGGGCTAAATGGTTCAAATTCATTATCTCATTTAATCTTTACAATATTTCTGTGAGGTAGAAAGTATTGTTATCTCCATTTTAGAGATAGCAGTTATAGAAGAGGCATCTGGAGCTAAAACAGATTAAATGACCTTTTCCCTCAGGTTCAGAGTAAGTGTCATATTGCACCCCAGAATAATTCTGTGCTCACCATAATGATTTACCCTTCTAAAAGGTAATATAATGCAATTTCAGAAATTAATGATTCTTAAAAATGTGTAAGCATGCAGTGAGCCGAGATTGCGCCACTGCACTCCAGCCTGGGCGACAGAGCGAGACTCCGTCTCAAAAAAAAAAAAAAAAAAAAAAAAAAATGTGTAAGCATAAGAAAAAATAGCGAATGTCCTTTTCTAGCATCACACTAGATTTTACGGGTGATTACAGGAAGACCCTTTTGAGATTTTCAGCAATGGACTTTTCTTGGATGAGACGGAAGATGCTCTCAGCTGGTGTGACTAAATTGTTTGCGACTTGAGGACATGGGTCATGCCCTCTGTGTGTACCACTCACTATATCCTCATCACAGTTCCTGCATAAAGCAGAGATTCAGAAGGGTCAGTCGAGAACATGGATGACAACCCAACACTGTAACCCAGCAGCTTGTGTCTTGGTGTAACATTGGTAGGTTTTGTTTGCCTTTACATTTTTACCATAAGAGGTCAACTAGAGTTTCTATCTTGTTACAAGTTCATTACACAGGTATCCCTTATTCCTTCATTCAACATTGCAAAGAAAACATCTGTAACATGCTTTGAGTCATTAAGAGACATTGCATACAGTCAAAAAATAGCATGAATTTATTAAATTCAGTACTTTGGCTGATAAATTGAGAGGAAACCTTTATTGCAATTTGGTGGTGATAGTGGAGAGTCTCTTTCCAAATATAAGACCTAGCATTAAGAAGTATTTCCAAGTCTCCTATTTTAGGAATCTCAAATCTCTAAATTCGAGATATGTGGAAAAAATAGGCAATTTTCAAGAAAATTTGTGTTGCTGCTAGCCCTTTGGCTTGTACAATACATATTTTTTTTTTTAGAATATACTGGAAAGATGAAATCTCTAATAGGTATCTTTCTGGAGAACAGTCTTTATAGCAAGGTTTTCTTTACACAGAGCAACCATGCACATGTAGTTAATGGATCTCCAGACAAAGGCCATTTCTTCCCTAAAACAAAGCCAACAAGGCAATTGAGCCAAGTAACTTCAAACTCCCCAGAGGGGACAGCAGCCATTCTTAAATCCACCATACTTTTGAATAGCTATCATTGGTCATTATCTTCCAAATGGCTTTGTAAGTGTCTAGGCATAATGTGATTGCTTTGGAAATTCTCCATTTTTCAGGGTGCTGGGAAGGACATGAACAGACACTTCTCAAAAGAAGACATTTATGCAGCCAAAAAACACATGAAAAAGTGCTCACCATCACTGGCCATCAGAGAAATGCAAATCAAAACCACAATGAGATACCATCTCACACCAGTTAGAATGGCAATCATTAAAAAGTCAGGAAACAACAGGTGATGGAGAGGATGTGGAGAAATAGGAACACTTTTACACTGTCGGTGGGACTGTAAACTAGTTCAACCCTTGTGGAAGTCAGTGTGGCGATTCTTCAGGGATCTAGAACTAGAAATACCATTTGACCCAGCCATCCCATTACTGGGTATATACCCAAAGGACTATAAATCACGCTGCTATAAAGACACACGCACACATATGTTTATTGCGGCACTATTCACAATAGCAAAGACTTGGAACCAACCCAAATGTCCAACAATGATAGACTGGATTAAGAAAATGTGGCACATATACACCATGGAATACTATGCAGCCATAAAAAATGATGAGTTCACGTCCTTTGTAGGGACATGGATGAAACTGGAAATCATCATTCTCAGTAAACTATCACAAGAACAAAAAACCAAACACCATGTATTCTCACTCATAGGTGGTAATTGAACAATGAGAACACATGAACACAGGAAGGGGAACATCACACTCTGGGGACTGTTGTGGGGTGGGGGGAGGGGGGAGGGATAGCTTTAGGAGATATACCTAATGCTAAATGGCGAGTTAATGGGTGCAGCACACCAGCATGGCACATGGTTACATGTGTAACTAACCTGCACATTGTGCACATGTACCCTAGAACTTGAAGTATAATTTAAAAAAAAAAAAGTCCCTTTCTTCTTTATCTCTTCCTCCCTGCCCCTTTCACTGTTCTGCCCAACACAAAGTTCAAGTCGTCTAGAGACGAATATGGCTTTTGCTTTTGTAGGGACTTTTTCCTGAGTCCCTTCCTAGCAGGGTACATGCAATATAGGCCTGTGAGAATAACTTTCTGCGGTGACACAGAACAGTGAAAACTGTAAGTCAGTCTATGGTGAGTGCAATCCTACATTATTTCATGCATAAAAAAGTCATACATCTGTATACATATATAACCTATTTCACAGTAACAATAAAAACATATTTATCGATTCATCAGAGGATAGACAGATTTGTGTGTCTATCCAAATGTATTACACTGTGATTTTTTTCTTCCTTGAGAAAGATTTCCCTGAAGACAATATTTATGGCAGGGCAGGAATTTATATTACACTTGAATATATGTTCTGACAAAGAAGCACATTGCATTTTGGAATTGGGTGATATTGGACATTCTTCAAAAAATCTTCTAAAGGGAAAGAATGTTTCATCTACTCATTTGTTCAGATTTCCCTATAATTTTTAGCCAGCAGTCCTTTATGGATCAGATATTGCATCAAAAAAGAAGGGGAAAATATTCTTGTCATGGAGACATTTTCAGATTAAGTTGAAAAGGTCCATAATCCTTACGGAAATTTTTTTTTTAATCATCATCAGGCTATTCTTGACAGTCAGTAAAATATCAGGTCTTTCTCATTTAACTGACAGATTTCTTCTTTTTGCTTTCTTTCTTCCCTCTCTGTATCTATATCTACTCTCTTTCCAGGGCTCACGGCATATAGTAAGTATTGAAAAAATGAATTTAAGTCTAACTTATACATACTTGTGAAACCTCATTCCTTATGATAAAGACCTTAAGCTTTTCTAAATGCAGAATCAGCCACTGGTCATTTTTAATGGACACGTAGTGGTTGCTATTTTCTGGAGTGCAGGATTCATTAGGGTCATTGCTGGCATTTGGCTATGTTCAGTTGCCCCGGTGTGCTACTGAAGGCAAGTGTCCAAACGCCAATAATGTTTGGTTTCTCTCGATATTCCGAGGTTATATATCAAAAGAAGCCGTGTGTATGGCTTCCAGTTACCCATCCAGAGAATTCCTGAAAAAAGCAAATTATTCTTAAGATCCCCTGGAATTATGAATCTCTTGGTGGAGATGCATGGTAGGGAAAAGGGAAACTTGATCTGGTTTATTCTGAACCCTTTCTTCTCATCTTATCCTTCTACTAAGTCACTTGAAAACTGTTAAGAAGGAGAACATATAGGCATTATGAAAGAAACTATGTTGTAGCAGAATTCTTCAAGGTCTCAGGATTTACCCTTATAAAAACTGTACATAATCTAAAGCATAATAGCCAAAACAATTCAGTATGAATCAGACGTACACATACATAATTGTCTCATTGAGTTTCCCATCTCCACTAAGTCATGGTCACTGTTTTGCCTTGGTTATGGTAACTAAAAGCCAATGGAGATTAACGGAAAGCCCCCCAGGAGAAAATACTCTTTTGCGGTCTTTGGATGAAGGCCTGAGTATCAGCAGGACTGGAGTTCTAAAGAAACTGCTATGCCCATTGCATGAGACACATGAAGTAATGAACTATAGACAAGTCATCATACCAGTATTTCAGAAAGTGAAACTGATATAAGAACACAGGCCAGACACCAACTCAAACAAACTATGGAAGCAGGGAGAGCAAACTGAAATACAAAGGCATGGCCAGTAGCCAGAGCAGGAGTGCCTCAGAAATTGATGATAGATGAAGACAATTTATGTAGCAGTTCGTCTAATGGCAGTTCTGCAGGGAGGCATCCTTTTGAAGGTGATGGCTCAGGTTGGCCTACATGTTCCTGCCCAATTTTAAAGGTGTCATAAGCCAGTGTAATTGGGGATCTGTCTGGCTTCTGACTTCTTGCATAACTATGTTCCCACTTACATTGGGGTCTTGGCATAATTTGTCTCCTGACAAAGAGAAAATAGAAAATATCCAAATATTCCAGCCTTATAGCATAGATGGGTAAATATAAGACCTTTCCTTTTAGCATTGATGACAGTAAACACAATTAATAGCTTTCTATTTGCCAGGCATGTGACATACGACTCTGAAATCTTGCAACAACCCAGTTAGAACGACTTACTAAGACTTGAAGTTAAGTTTGCCTAAATGTATACAGCAGGTGATTAAAATATGGATTTAACTGCTGATTTGTTCATATTTAAGATCCTTGACCTTTCCACTGTTATAATAGTACATATTGATATTCCACTGGCGATGAGTAAGCATGCCTTACCACTTCACAAATAGATAAGGTGGCTTCTAAGAAAATCTCAAATAGAGGTGGTCAGGAAGCCACAGGACCAACCAAGAACCCAGAAACGACAGTGCTTACTAGATGCTGCTTGCATTCTACCATGTGGATACAATGAGTAAAACTTGGGTACTAAAGTCAAAGTGCCTGCCACCACACCTGGCTAATATTTGTATTTTTAGCAGAGATGGGGTTTCACCATATTGGCCAGGCTGGCCTGGAACTCCTGACCTTGTGATCTGCCCACCTCGGCCTCCCAAAGTGCTGGGATTACAGATCCCAACTGGATTGGGATCTTAGCACTTACTTGCTGTATAACTTCTCCAGGTTACTGATCATCTCTAAGTCTTTGATTCTTGTTCTGTAAAATATGATAATAGTAGGAATAATAATAGTGCCTTCTTTAGAGATAGTTGTCAAGATTAAAGTGCTTAGCTCAGTGCTTGACATAGGGTAAATATTCAACCTATAGTCAATCATCTTAAGTACTCTTGTCTCACCGAGGAACCATCAGGAGGTGTAGGTAATATGCAACCTTGAATTAGATGTAATAAAATGGACCCCACAGGAAGTATTTGGGGATATTTTAGGCATATTTTCCAGTACACATATGCAATATTAGATAATATTTTCCAAACCAATGCTATTTAACCTCAAATCCAGCACAGTGAAAAAACATTGAAAGGTAAAAGAAAAAGTCACTTCACTTCCATAGTTCTCAGAATTACCATGTAGATATCAAAAGGTCTCTTCCAACTCTGAAAGTCTGTGACTAATTTTGTTAAACCCCTACTGTGTGCAAAGTTTGTCACTGGGACGAATAAGGTTGACACTCTCAGAGAAGCAATATGTAAAAAGACATGTACAATTCTCTTAATTTTTTTTTTTTTTTTTTTTTTTGAGACAGAGTCTCGCTCTGTCACCCAAGCTGGAGTGCAGTGGCATGATCTCAGCTCACTGCAAACTCCACCTCCCGGGTTCAAGAGATTCTCCTGCCCCAGCCTCCTGAGTAGCTGGGAGTACAGGCACCTGCCACCACACCTGGCTAGTATTTGTATTTTTAGTAGAGACAGGGTTTCACCATATTGGCCAGGCTGGTCTCAAACTCCTGACCTTGTAATCTGCCTGCCTCGGCCTCCCAAAGTGCTGGGATTACAGGCGTGAGCCACCACGCCTGGCTATGTACAATTCTTAAAATAAGCTAAAGTGATAAACTTACCCTATGGCTTTGTCATAGAAGGGTTTTAAAGACAAAAAAAAAAATTGAAAAAAATTGAACTTCTGAGAAGAATGGTGATATTATAGATATGCTATAGCCTCTAAATAAGAATAGTGATGTTTAAAGGAATATAAATTAAAGAGAACACTAAAGGGAAAAGAGAGATGGATTTTACCCTCTGGATCTGACTTTGGTTTTAAATTGCATAGGCAAGAGATTGGTTAGAGAGATTTATTTCAACCTTTAGTAGTGTATTAGCAGTGTCACAGAACAAGGGATATGGTTAAAAGAAAGAAGGTGAGAAATGCGAACAAACAAGATAGTGTCTTGGAATCTGATTTATTTAAATTTAGATTATATTGCTGTTGCATTAATCTTTGTATAAATCATAGTTCTAAGCACATTAAACTTACGTTGCAGTCAATTTTTAATTTTGCAAACCTTAACCGATGTTTATTATTATAAGCTGTGAACATTTTTTTAATCATTGAGAAGGCCCCTCTCAAGTGAAATTTTGGTTCCAAATGGCCAAAGTAACTAATGGGCAGGGAAAAAAATCTGCTTAAACTCTCATTTCAATCACAGTTATGTGGAAACATCTTGAAGACAACAGTAAAGGAAAGAGAAAGAAATCAGGTGGATGGAGAAGATACACTAGAGGAATGAGATCTCCTACATGAGTAAAGTGTTTTCTAATGTGTTTTTCTTGAATGATAGCATCTTGAATTTCCTACAAAGTATGGAATAGTTTACCTCTGACTAGCGCTGCCCTACAGAACAATGTCAATTTATTCTAAGACTGCAATGTTCAGAATGCAGATATGATCAGTTCAACCCAGATGAGACAATCCTATAAATGTAATAATAGAAATAACTATTTGAAACTTGAAAATCAGAAGTGTTTTAACTTTCTTCAAACACTTAGACTATAACAACATTTTTAGTCTAATGTAATTAGCGCAATTTTCAGAGGATATGTTTATATCAAGAATATTCCTGTGGGAGAAATAGAAACTTTTAAGGAGAGGTTTCTAGGATTCTTAGACAACTAAAACTTTCGTTTGACTCAGACCCTGATATTACATTTTCCCAGGATTCCTCTCACTTGTGCTGTTTTCAGTGATTGCTCAGGTTATTTCGAATGATGGCATACATATATCTTCTCTGACATGCAAAAATGCCAGAACCTTCTTTTTCCTCCCTCTGTTCCCAGAAAGAACTAAGAACGGTCTAGCTTTGAGCTAAATTGTACAGCTGACTGTTTGTTTTGGGAACTTCCAAATGAACATATTTGGTGTTGCACTGGTGCATCCCAGGAACAGAACTGTCTGACCAGAAGAGCAATTCTGCTTCTGGAAATTTCTAGCACATAAGAAGATAGCTGGAGGGTATGTTTGTCTGTATAGTTTAGAGGCTGGCTGGTGCTATAAAGGAAAGTAAGAAAAAGGCAAAGATATCCTTCAGAGGATTCCCCCAGAAGAAAGTAGCAGTTATGAAGTTTTATTCCTGAGGTAGGACAGGCAGTCAGACCCAAGAGGTCTCAGTGTCTCTCCCTGTGTTGGATGTAATTGCTTTTCATTGTCAATACTGAAAGAAGGCACACAAGAGACAAATGAAATGTGTGTGTATAAACCTGGCTTTGGTTTTCAGAGACAGTCTTCTTACACCTTCAGATCTCCTAGATGAGCTGGGCCTTACAGAAAATACAAGTCTTGAGCTCTATTTGTTTACAGTTTTCAAATTCTCAGCTTCTGCCTGTAAGATATCTCATGTGATTAACTGATTTTTCTAATTTAAGGGAGTTATTTTCTGTGGAGGAAGAGGCTATAAAGTCACATTTTTATCTTATTTTCTTTTTTTTTTCTCTGATATTTCTTCTCTGTTTTCCACATTCCTTGTCACTGTCAAAACTGGTAATTAATCAAGAGTTAGTCATGGATGGCTCCTTTTCCCTCCCCTTCTTATCCTTCATTTTCCTGCCTGAGTGATAACGAATGATGTCTCTTGTCCTGTACCCCTGGCTTCCTCTCCTCAGAGCATTCAAGCCAGACCCCATGACAAGATGCTCCCAGTGAAGGGAGAAAACTGGGAATGACAAATGTGAGTCTGGGAACCCAGGCATCAAGGGGTGGACTTCCTGATCTCTACCACTTGCCATCATCTATCTCTCCATGTCAGGAGGCCTTTGGGAAAAGCAGAAACAAAAGAGAAAGGAAAAGTTCTCATCCCAGCATTTTAGCATCATGAGAAACCTGGAAGTACCTTTGCAATAGCACTAAAATATGATGAGTCTTGAGTCTTTCCCAAGGTTTTGATACCCACCAGCCCACGAGTATACATGTAGGCATACTTTTACTCTCTACTTTCTCCAGCTTAATGTTTTTCCAAGTGTCTGGAGGAAAATAAGAGCAAACATCTTTGTAAAATTGGACACATCTCTTCTTTCATTATATGATTGGTTTATGTGTCTGAACACCTTAGGACTCAGTCTTTACTCTTATTTAACTGAAGAGATTAGGGGAAATACTTCCTCACCCACCACAGAGTCTGAAATTCTGCTATTAGAGACTCATGCCTTTAGGTGAAAATGTTGCATCTCCAAGAAGACCCATGAAAACAGAAGTGATTCTAGGTAGAATGAAGATACAATATAAGCTAATCGATGATATCCTCCTATAAATTCCTTTGGCAGATCTATTTACTATGGAGATCCCTAGTGGAGAGGATGGCCTTAAGGAATTGGGAAATAAAATAGTTAACTTGAGATAGGTTGAAAGAGAAAATAATTCCTGAGAAAGGAACACAATACTGCTTGAAAATAGTACTAATGTATTTTTACAGATTAGTTTTTGCTGGTTCCTGAACCAAATGACTAGCTGGGACTTCTTATTCTCAGATTTGCCTCACACCCACTTAAGAAAAATACCAGATTGACATCCTCAAGTTATAATCTAAAATCCCAGGGAGGGAGCACACTAGTCAGGGGTGAGATTAAATGAGGCAAAAGTGACTGCATCACATTTCACTGTCTATAGAGGCTATTGGCAGATTTATGCAGGCTGAGTTAAGTGAATGACTTGATAGCCTGGATCACATCTATATGTGTTTTTCACAGGCATCATGTCTTAGTTAGTTTTATGTTGCCATAACAGAATGCCCCAGACTGGGTAACTCAAAATGAACAGAAATTTATTTGGCTCACAGTTCTGGAGGCTGGGAAGTCTTAGTGCATGAAACTGACATCTGACATGGGCCTTTGTGCTACATGATCCCATGGTGAAAGTTATCACATGGCAAGAGAGCATGGGAGAGAGCCAAACTCAATTTTATAACCAACTCACTTCTGTAATAATGACACTGATCCATTCATGAGAACAGAGCCCTCATGACCTAATCACCTTTTAAAGGTCCCATTGTTCAACACTGTTGCATTGGGAATTAACTTTCCAACACATGCACTCTGGGGGACACATTCGAACCATACCAAACATCCACTCTGTAGAATGTTGCCCTTAATATGCTGTGATTGATATAGATAGATAGATATAGATATAGATTTTTTTTTCCTTTTCAGTGTGTTTTAGTATATTAGTTGGGTCTCATTTGCTTGCTTAAACTGTTGTATGAAAAAAAAGAAATGTGCTGCAAAGATACAGAGGTATATTGTGCAGCTCAAATTAGGTCAGGAATGTTATTAATTTAATTAGTTATCCATGCAATATGCTGCATAACAAACAACCACAATATCTCCAGCAGCACAGGACAATAAACACTTATTTCTTATGGAGCTGTGGGTTGCTTGAGGGTCAGCTATTGCAGCTTGAGACTGGCTAAATGGCTCCACTAATCTCAGCTGGGCTCACTCAAGGGTCTGGGGGTCAGTTGAGGTTCAGGTTATATAGGCTTTGCTCAGGTGGGCTAGGTCAGCTCTATTACACATCTCTTATCCTATTTCTGGGTCCAGCCTGCTAGCTTGGGCAAATTCTTTTCTGTTTCTACAGGTTAATTTTGGCTGGTTACTGGACCAAATGTCTCTGTGGAAATTCTCCTTCTCAGGTTTGCCTTATATCCACTTAAGAAAAATGCCAGATTGACATCCTCAAGTCCCAGTCTAAAAACTTGGGTAGGTGCATGGTAGTCAGGGGATGAGGTCAAATTAGGCAAATGTGACTTCATAGCCCTGCTGTAACCAGCTGGAAAATAAGAGAATGAACAGACAAAAATAGACTTGTACCACATTAATGACATACTGATTATTTGAATTAGTTAATTTTGCTAGGAGTAGAGATAATAAGAGTGTGGTTCTCAGTTGCTGCTTACCCCGAACAAGAGTCTTAGTAAATTGACCAGCTGAGTCATTTGAACTTGATTCTTGGTAGGAAGACTTTTGCGTGGCTTATCTACTGTTTTTTCTTCTCTTTTTCTTTTCTTACTGTATCTGTAATTTCTTTTTTTTTTTAATTCCATGATTTACTGGAAATCTCAAAGGATGTTTGAATGAACTCTAATTATCCGTTGTCTTTGTTGTCGCTGACTCCACTGTCAAAAACCCAAGCCAGGCATCCGCTTGGTTTGGTGACCTTAACCACAATTTGAAGGCTGCTGACTGATCAGGGCAGTGGTTGCGGAAGGTTGGGGTGGCAAACAACAAAGATGTTTCCCGCAAGGAATTTGAGTCTTCCTTTCATGAAAGACTTCTTTGTAGCATGCGATGCTATTTGATAGCATTTTACCCACTGTAGGACAGCTTTCAAAATTGTAGTCAATCCTCTCAAACCCTGCCATTGCTTTTTCAACTAAGTTTATGTAATATTCTAAATCATTTGTTGTGATTTCAACAATGTTCACAACATCTTCACCAGGAGTAGATTCCATCTGAAGAAACTACTCTTTGCTCATCTATAAGAAGCAGCTCCTCATCTGTTTAAGTTTTATTATGAGATTGCAGTAATTCAGTCCCAGTCCCATCTTCAGGTTCCACTTCTGATTCCACTCTGCCACACATTTCTCTGTGAGTCTGTTAAAATATGGATAATCCAAATAACTTCTTTCTAATGTGATTTATATGAAATGGAAGCATGTTCTCCTTCCCCCTTATGTGCTCTTGTTTTGAATTGCAAATATTCAGTTTTGCATATATTTAAAAGTTATTTTGACAGTATGTAATGTAGATTTAAAACATTCTGAAGTTGGCTGTTTTCCCTTGATCAATTCTTCTTTTAGAAGAAACACTGTAAATAAACCAACAAGTGTCAGAGCATACAGTATAGGGAACAGCCAAGGACAATCTGTTATGATATTCTGTGTATTAAAAACCAGTTTGTTTATACCACTAGGAGAATTTCATTTTTTAGTATTTGGATTTGATGGATTTAGTGAGAACGATATGATTTGCTTCATTAGACAGCTATGCCACAGCTGAACGATGTGCATTACTCTTAATGCTAAAGGGAGATAAATGTAATGATAGAAAAAGTTAAGGGAACCAAAGAGGCAATATTCCTAGAATAAGCAGATGAAAATTTAACTATGATGCACAGAAGTTAAATGTCAGTAATTCCATTCAACTAGGTCAGTGGAATTGGGGCAGGAACTTTCTTCATTGTAGCAGTGAAGCTGTTAGCTGGTTTACTTAGAAACCTTGAATCTGAGGAATCATCTCCAGAGAACACCTGATATAAGCTACAGTTTTCTTGACTCATATTCCAAAATGGGGATTGAACTGTGAGAAAGACTACAAGTAATTTCTGAGTTACTGAACTTAGAAAAAGCAAAACTGGCCAGGTGCGGTGGCTCACGCCTGTAATCCAGCACTTTGGGAGGCCGAGAAAGGCGGATCACGAAGTCAGGAGATGGAGACCATCCTGGCTAACATGGTGAAACCCTCTCTCTACTAAAAATACAAAAAAATTATCTGGGCTTGGTGACATGCGCCTGTAGTCCCAGCTACTCTAGAGACTGAGGCAGGAGAATCGCTTGAACCCTGGAGGCAGAGGTTGCGGTGAGCCAAGATGGCGCCACTGCGCTCCAGCCTGGGCGACAGTGAGACTGCGTCTAAAAAAAAAAAAAAGCAAAACCTTGGGACTTCTTTCTTTCCCTTCTTATTTTCACCTTTCCTTCTCTTCCTTCTTCTCTTTCTACTTCCCTTCTTGTCTCTCTATTTTTACCTTATTCATTTCCTCTCGTGCCTTTCCATTTTTTATATCAGGAATTAAATACCCTCTAGAGTGAAACGATGAATAAAATCTACTAGTCCTGTGAGAAGGACAAAATTAAATGTGTTGGGTTGTGTTTGTGATTGTGCTGATGACAGCAAAAGAAGCCACACTGAGGATTGAAGATGAGAAAAAACAAACTACAATGTTCACTAACGTAATTTTTAAGGGAGAAGATATAAAGATTACCAGAGTTCACACTTTCAAATTGTTTGCAATCAATTGAAAGTCGAAAAAAGTTATATGTTGAACAACATATGAGAAAAAAGCAAGTGACCATTTAAGGTGATATGTGTTAAGAGCAAATCAACTGATAGAGATAGAAATGTGGATGAGGAAGACCACCACTATTCCCTGGGGTAGTCAAAGGAAAGTTGGCCTGGTACTGGATTTTGGATAACACTGAATAAGATTCAAACAGACAAACCATGGTTGGGGCCCAGCTTGAGCAAAGGATCAGAAGCAGCAGTATTCCAGACATGTGAGAATATAAATTTGGTTCAAGTAGAAAGGTTTCAAATGGCAGATGACTGTGGAAAAATAATTTGGTGAAAACTTATAAAAGGCCCGGAATGCTGAGATAGAACCTTGGGTTCTATTCAGTATATATTTTGAGAACCACTGATGGTCACTATGGAGAAGAAAGACGTGTGCTATATAATAGAACAAGAATTGAGAGGTCATTGACTGGGGGAGTTTCCTAGACCCAGAGAAGGGTAAGAAGGGATACATTTTGAAGGCTGGTACATAAAGAGAATTAAGATATCAATGAGACATATTTTAAAAGCCAAGAGAAGGAGAGGAAAGTGGTCATTTTCAGTTCTGAAGGTGAGAGTTTTGAGGTTTGGATGACTATGAAATAACCCAGTGAGAATACCCATTTATCAGTGGGAAATCCTGAACTAGAGTTTGAGAGAGTCTGCTAAGCTAAAGTTGTGGATTTGCACGTTAGCCTCCTGAAGAGGATGGTTGAATTCATAAATATGGATGATACTCTACAGAAAAGAAGTTTGCTTAGAGGATTTGGCATATCCATGATGAGAGTATACCGGGGAAGCAAGGAAACACTGAAGAGAGAAGGGGTGGTCAGAAGAACTGTAGAAGTGGGGCAATATGTGGAATAGTGAGGGTCTCAGAACAGACAGAGGACCTGGGCCTTGAAGGCCAGCTGCGTCATCTGGAGATGAAGATGGAAGGAAATGGGGATCATTGAGGATGAAGAAGAAAAGGAGCCCTAAAGGTCTCTTACAGTCATCACTTTGTCCGTAGAAACACATCTCTGGGAAGGAATGAGTTAGGTTTTTCTTATTCTTTCTTCATTAATAAAAATAGAAAAACAGGTGGTGAAACAAATTGGAAAACAATGTACACACAACTAATACTCTTGAAGAAAGAGATTTCACACTGTGTCCTGCTAACCTGTTCTGATATTCAATGGCACTTGTTACCCAGGAGTTCTTTTTTAAATCACTATCTGAAATCCCTATTGCTCTCCTGTGAGCTGTATTTTTTTTTTTTTTTTTTTTTTTTTTTTGGCTTTCCTCTGTTTATCCTCAGGGGACAGAAAGAACATATGGCAACTATCTCTCAAGTAATAATCCTTCAATTTTGGAAATACGTATTATATAAGATTTTTCCTCTCTAGCCTTTTATTCTTTGAGCTAAATAATACTAAGAAATTTAGGCTTTCTTTATGGTCATTTCTTCCCAGGACAATGGCACAGACTGAGTCAAATTCAGTTCCTAGGACTTGGATAAAATTTATATTGAAGCCACTGCTTTGAATCAGCGAGCAGTACTGATGTCAAGTTTGCCTATTAGGTAGAAATTCAAGAATGAAATGATGATGACCCTTTTGGGAACAACTCTGTGCATCCTTTGTATCCTGAGAGCACTTATCAAAACTAATAGATGAGTAATAAATCTTTCAAAACAAAGAAAACCGATGGACAAAGTGGTGAAAATATAGCATTTGTCTCTTATTGCCAATGCGTGGCACATACCAACTCAATTCATATTTGCATGAATTTATGAAAGCAAGGATGAAAAAATATGTACTAAGATATAAAATTAGCAATATTATTTTTAAAAGGTTGTTAAAAGTCAAGGCCTTTTGGGCCAGGCTGTTGGGCTGTTTCTTAAGGATATGATATTTTATTTATTTTAACATATTCAGAAACACCTAGTGGTATTAAAACCTCTGAGATTGGCAGCATTTGGCCTTTTAGAGAATGTTGACTCTACTTTCTTTCTCTAGAATTTATTCTATCATTTTTTATGACAGTCTTAATAAAGATGATTGAAAGACTCTGGGTATTAATTCATCAACCAGTATTTGTTGCAGGCCAACTAAGAGTTTGGCACTGTGTTCCAAGGGGAAGTTAAGTAAGCACAAAAATCACAAACTATTAAAGTTGATAAAGCTGCTGATTTAAGCCAAAATAGTAATTCTCTTGACAACATAAGAGTGAATGTTTACATAGCATTGACCTTTTGCCAGGCACTGTTCAAGCACTTTCTACGTCACTACATATTTCTTTTAATTTTTACAACAACTCATTAAACAGGTACTATTACTATCCTTATTGTACAGGCGAGGAAGCACGTGAGAATTGGCTAAAGCCATATAGTTAGTAAGCCATAGAGTTAGGATTTAAACTTGGGTCCAAATCCTGTATGCTTAACCATTACTGCACCAGAGAGGTCCTCCAGGCTTCCCTTGAGTAATCTGAGGAATGAGGTGTGTGTTATCTTTTTTTTTTTTTTCCTCAATCAATTGAGGTTTTATTGAGCTAGAGCTTGAGGGTGTGCCCAAGATAAACAAGAGTCACAGAAATCCTCTGTGGCTTATGTTCTCCCTGAAGAGGTTTTCAGGAGGCTCAGTTTTATACATTTCCTTGGGGGAAAAATGTGTGTAGGAAGAGTTGGGGGGTAGGCAGAAGAATGATTGCTCTCATATTGTCTTTGTTCCATACCTGAGAAAATAAGGATTATTAGTGTGAAGTATAATAGGCATATCCTTGTTTTGTGGGAGAATATACACCTTTTTTAAGGTATTAAGATTATTTTTTTCTGTAAGTTATTGGGGGTACAGGTGGCATTCGGTTACATGAGTAAGTTCTTTAGTTGTGGTTTGTGAGATTTTGGTGCACCCATTCCCCAAGCAGTATACACTGTACCATATTTGTAGTCTTTTATCCCTCACCCTCCTACGACTCTTCCCCCAAAGTCCCCAAAGCCCACTGTGTCACTGTAATACCTTTGCGTCCTCATAGCTTAGTTCCCACATATCAGTGAGAACATACGATGTTTGGTTTTCCAACCTGAGTTACGTCATTTAGAATAATAGTCTCCAAACTCATCCAGGTCACTTCAAATGCTGTGAATTCATTCCTTTTTATGGCTGAGTAGTATTCCATCATATATATATACCACAGTTTCTTTATCCACTCATTGATTAATGGGCATTTGGGTTGGTTCCACAATTTTTGCAATTGTGAGTTGTACTGCTATAAACATGTGTGTGCAAGAATCTTTTTCATATAATGACTTCTTTTGCTCCGGGTAGATACCCAGTAGTGGCATTGCTGGGTCAAAATGTTGTTCTACTTTTAATTCTTTAAGGAATCTCCACACTAGTATACATTCCCTCCAGCAGTGTAGAACTTCCCCCTGTTCACCGCATCCATGCCAACATCTACTGTTTTTTGATTTTTTGATTATGGCCATTCTGGTGTCCATTATCTTTTACCAGAAAACTCCTCCTGTTGAAATGGAATCTTTCTTCCCATACCTTTCCTTTATTGGTCTAATTTCACTGCCTGGAGGAAGATGGAGATTATTTTCTACAGAGCAGACTCTGGATCTGAAGACAGCCTTCAAACTCCTCCAGAAATTGTTTCTTCAGGATTAATATTCTCTCCTTAAATTGCTACATATGACATTTTTCATTTGTTTAGCTTTGCAAAACTTGCCTATTCAAAAAAGGATATTAGATAGTTCACAGAGATATACACAACAGACAAGCAAGATAATATATATACCTCCAGGTTTTGTGGCATCAATAGATTTGATAAACATACTTTGTGTCTTCATTAGAGCAGTAGATAAATGAATTAGGGCTGTACAGAGTATAAATCCCTGCGGCACACCCCTACATATGCCCCATCTAGAATTTCTCAAATATCCAGGCCACATCTTTCTGTCCTAGTTACAATGTTAATTGCCAATTAGCATGTTTATGTCAAGATTTCCTGTGATAGCATTTTTCTCTGGGATCTAATAACCCAGTAACCTTGGACACCAGCATTATATAGTGATATGGAGGTGGATTTTGGATTCAAAATGTGTGCTAAAGCTTTGCAATAATAGACAACTTAATTTCTGAGCTTCAGTCTCCTTGTCTAGCAGAGATAACAACAGGTACCGTGCACCTTCTTAAGGCTAGTTGTATGGATTAAATACTATATACATGTAAAATTATTAGCAGATAGTAGGTGCTTAATTATAATTGTAGACATTTGTCAAGAATGACTCATTTGGCCAATGGAGTGTTGGCAAATGTTTACTTAATAATTAATTGGCTTTCTGAGAGAAAAAGCTCTGGTTTGGAGCATTTGATGATTTCCCTGGTATAAACACTCCCACCAAAGCTTTTGAGCTACCATCATGGCATCATGAAAGGCAGAGTTGGGTAGCGATATATGCAGTCAAATGGCTCTTGGGAGACAGTGCCAGCCAGTGCCAACATCCCCCTGTGTGTGGCCCATGCTACACTCATACTCCCACTCACAAGTAAGATTGCAGCATTAATATGTGAGTAAAAAGATACAAAGAAAAAAGATTTCCATTACAAAGAGCTCCCGTCAGGTGCTGATAGTGCTTGAAAAAGAGATGGTTATTTTAGTTACATTTATAATTGTGAAGCTTCTTCTGCTTGCTCTGGTATATGGAAGTGCCAGTTATTCTTTCCAAATGTGCTTGGTTTTGTCTTTCTTTACCTCTTTCTCCCTCACCCTCCCTCTTCCAACAAATGCCTCATATGGTAACAGTTACCAAGCAAAGTAAGGGATTTTATGAAAAATTCCAAGGTTTGAGTAAAAAAATGAACACCAAAATACCCATTTTATTAGTATAGGTAGCATCCAGTTAAGAGTTGGGTATAAAAAGAAACATTTGCCTACCCAAAGAAAGCAGCATCAGAATCTTGGCATAAGAAAAATAGCATTGTTTAGTATTTGGGTGTTTACATATTCCTTGTGAGGGTGAATGTCTGAATATGCTCATTTTCATATTTTAAGTCATCATCAATTAAACATTTGTGGGTGTATTTCTTGTGGGCTGACTCCAGTGGCTGTCAGTGAAACCAAGCAGCTGTTGGGTAGATATGGAACAAAAACACCCTGAATGTTACACTCCTGATTGCTTCCCCTGGCACAGGTAGAGGTACTTATGCACAGGGAAGGAAATGAAGGGCATGCATCCAGGTTCCTTTCTAGCTGTCTCCTTAGAAATCACTGCTTTTTGGACAGTACTGAAAGTATGACACAGCTGAGACTTGGTGTATGTACACACACAGTATCATATTTGATTGTGTTGGTTGCTTCCTTCTGGCAATCCTTTGGCAGGTGGTATCACATTCTTCCCTCTAAAGAGCATTACCAACTGAGATTTCCCTTTGTGCTTAGTAAATATTTAGGCATTGTAGATTGTGTCAGCAATGATTCCTTTTATGTTTCAAAGGCTGGAAAATTTTTCTTCCTTGACACTTCACTGTTGTTGATTTGGGGAAGAGGTATGAGCCAAATGGACATTGGACAAGGAATTAAAATTTATAATTGCCGCGAATAGTAACTTTTCCTTAGCTGCTGCTTCGTACTTGAAAATGGAATGCCCTGTAGCTTGGGAACCGAATTTTATGGTGGCTCTGCTTTTGTGATATTTCATTCAATCCATTTAACAGTTAGTTGTATTTTTCAATTCTAATTAACATTGGTGTTTTTAATATATATCTTAAAACTATAATTTTTGAGCTAAGAAGCCTTACAACAGATACACCAGCAAAGATGACTAGAGGTCTACAAGAGTGCATCATAAGTAGAGCAATTTAGATGGACTTCCTTCTGAACTGCTGCCTAAAAAGTTTGTTACTCAATCTTATCACCATAGTTCAGCACAAAGTTAATGAAAATAGGGCTGTATAATTTTGTTGTAAAACATCAAGTACCTGATAATTATCATCACCATCCATCTTTATCCACCATCATCAATCACCATTATTGTATTTTTATTGCTTGGATTAATTCAGTCCTAATAGAGCATAATGGTATGGAAATTATTTAATTACATTATAAGTACACACTCTATCAAGTCAGAAATCATTTAGTCCTATGACAGAAATCCAGCAACACCACCTCCTGGTAGGATTAGCTATATATGCCTTTAAGATATATAACTTAAGCATGCAGAGGGATATATAGATTGACTGACAGCTGACTTTTCTTCTATTTCTCCATGTTGCTACACTTAATTTTGCCTCTATTTCAAGGAACTTCAAACACAGTGTTTAAAAGAATCATTTAGGCTCTCCCTGAATATACAAATTTTGGTACCTCATCATTGTAGTTCTCTGATAAGGCTCTTGGAATCCCTATTTTTGACAAGCATGCCAGATGCTTCTAATAACTTGTCTGGAAGAACATGCATGGAGGAACACACCATTCTGCCCTCATAAAAGTCATTCATTTTTCTGTCTGTTTTTGTTATATCACTGCCCAAATGGAATGTGACTATCAATACATAATAATTTCAGTTACTAATATATAAATTATTAGCATTAATTTGCATCAAGTTATACTCATCATTGGTAATTAATAATGATGATGAATGATAGCAGATGTATATATGGTGCCTACTATGCCAGACATTCTTAAAGGATTTGCACGTATTAATCCTTACAAGGGCCTTCGGAGGCAGGTAATATTATATCCCCATTCTCTAGAGGAGAAAACTCAGCTGAAGGAGGCTGGTCACTGAATCACAGAAGGAAGAGAGCAGGCTGTAGAATCAGATGGCATGGGCTCTATGTCTGCCTGTGCCACTTACTGGCTGTGTGTCAGTGACAAGGGTCCATCATCTCTTCTTGACTATAAAGAAAAACTGGGGATACAGCTGCTGTTAACTCCAGAGACAGGTGGTGAGAATTCCATGAGCTGAAGTATACAAGTATTTAAAGGCTAGCCTGAAGAGTAGGCATGCTCTAGAAATGTTAACTGTTATCACCTTTTCTTGTGACAACCCTGCCTTTCCAATACCTTTTCTAATGAGTTATTGTCAATAACATCCCAGTGCTGCTTTCTGAACTGTGACTATCTTTAGCTAGTAAGGAGTGTTTGGTGTCTCTTTTTTAGAATTTTTCTTTTCTTTTTGAACATTGAAGAGCGTTCAATTTTTAATTAATCTTAATAGGCACACATACCAATATTAGGCATAATTAATAACCTTATTATCTCATTAGAAAGGCAGAACACAATGCACATAACCAGGAAACTAACGTACAAGTCTTAGTGTTCATTACTGCTATGATATTCATTCACATGTTTAGTAGAAAAGAAAAAAAACAAAAACATTGAGCCCCTTTTCCTACCGGATCAAGTTACAGATGTTAGCCTGTTCACAAACTTTCCCACATCCAGGGGCGATGTCCCCCAGCACACCATCCCTCCCCAGCTGCTTCCTGGCCCTCTTGCCTCTGAGGCATGCTCACAAAAACCTGTGAGTTTTGAAAGTATTTTCACCTGCCAGCATCAATGAGAAATCTTCTGCAAGTCCCCTCCCCATGTTCATTTCTGTCAGTTCCTTGGGTTACGGTTCTCAGTACATAAGTGTCATTAGCTTCACCTGGGATTTTTTAATAAACGCAAATTCCTGAATACTAAATTCGGATTCAGTAGGTCTGCAATGGATCTCAGGAATCTGAGAACCCCCACCCCGCCCCAAGCGAACATGACACTTCTCTTCGAAAAACACTAGCTTCAATTGTAGAGAAAACCAAAAGTGCACATGAATGGAAATCTGGGACATAGTAAGACAAAAGAGACTGAAGTAGGAATAGCAAGCATTTCAAAGGAAAATGAGGCTGTCCCTTCTGAGGATTTCATATTAACAACTGGTGCAAGGAAAGGGAATTTGCAGCAGAGTTCAGAATAGGGGCAGTGAGGAAGTGGAGTTGAATCTGAGAACATGAATAAGGAAACCACTCTGAAGATGAGCATGTGGCATAAGGGAAATTGCCACCGGAATGTACCCTCTCTACTTCCCTAACTCCTCTCTTTACTTCTTTGGCCCGTTCTTTCTGCCACAACCTACCACTAAAGATCCTGCTTTGAATGAACCAAGGTCCCAGGGGATTGTTGCATAGGCATAAGGGTTGTTCTTGGAAGCCTCTGGGTTTGTTGATACAGAGGATCCCTATGGCTCCTTGATGATAATTCAGTTGTGAAGGTATAGTATTGAGAAACTGGTCTAAAGTTTTTATGGTATATATATTTTAAATTTTATTTAATAAATATATAAAAAGCACTGTTCTATGTGTTTTAAAAATACTAACACATTGAATCTTCTTAAGTACTTTGTGGAGTAGGTAACGTTATTATTCCAATATTACAGATGAGGAAACTAAGAAGTTAAGTAACTTGCCCAGAGGGTATAAAGAGGAAGGGACAAGGTGATTGTTCCATACTTTAAAGGAACCAGATTATCATATTTGTAGAAAGAAAGACTACATTTTGAGTCTATCCCAAAGAGTGTTATTTGAAGTAATTAGACTGTGTAGCTCTGAAAGAATTGGAACCCGCAATTCAAAACAATTTAAACTGTTCTGGAGACAAAGCTAACTCTCTGGTGGGGTTTCTTTCTTCTGATGATAAATTTGGGGGTCACTTAATCCAGGACAGTTCCTGCATTTATGGAAAATGAGCATATCGAGGTAGGATTAAAGAAGTGAATTCATTCATTAGGCTCTATGCCATCATGGTTCATTTTTTTCTAAAGCTGAGCCAAGAACATCTGTACCCCAATTTTTTATTTTCTTGGCCAAAAGGGGACAAATAACATCTCACACTAAGAACATTAAAATATTTACCAAAGGTCTTCTTTTAGCAAAGAATATTTCTTCATTGCAATGCCTCTGAACATCTTCCTGAATCAATTAATATTCATCTAAACTTTTATTTTCTATGACTAAGTAACAGTAATATTCATAATAGCAACTGACATTCAGTGAGCTCTTATTCTGTGGTCACTGTTTCAGGTGTTTTACCTATATTCTATTGTATGAAATAGCACAACTTACTCTGATTAACTCAATTTTATTGGATATAACAGTTATTTTTCAATTTCTATTATGACAAAAAATGTTTTATTAATCATATCTATAGCTAAACTATGTAAAAATGTTTGTAATTATATCCTTAGAATCAATTTTCAGAAGCAGAATTGCCAGTGTAAGAGTATACTTTAAGAAAAAAATTCAGCACATTTTACCAGTTTTCCTGCCAAGAATGTTATACCAATCTATATTCCCACCAACAATGTAGCAAGACTTTTGTGAAAAGTTTTTTTGTTTTTTTGTTTTGAGATGGAGTCTTGCTCTGTCACCCAGGCTGGAGTGCAGTGGTGTGATCTTGCCTCACTGCAACCTCCACCTCTTGGGTTCAAACGATTCTCCTGCCTCAGCCTCCCGAGTAGCTGGGACTATAGGCACGTGCCACCACACCTGGCTAATTTTTTGTGTTTTTAGTAGAGATGGGGTTTCACCATGTTAGCCAGGATGGTCTGGATCTCCTGACCTCGTGATCTACCTGACTCTGCCTCCCAAAGTGCTGGGATTATAGGCGTGAGCCACTGCGCCCGGTGTGAAAAGTTTTTAAAGTAATGAATTGCTAGTTAGCAACCTCTGAGTTTTTTAAGGTGTTGTCTAGCAGTCTTTATTAAAAAAAAAAAACAGAGGTCCAATCACCTATTTCCTTAGAAGAGGGAATCAAGGGTATATTTCAGTCTGTCTATAATGCACTGCTATGTAATTACTAGGGAAACTTCTCCAAAAGTCACAATGGGTAAAGTGTTATAAATTCTGAGTCATAAGTAAAGTTTCTACTATGTGAGAGACTCTCATTCCCTGTTGTCACTGAGATCATTAAGGTCTCAGTTCACATGTTACCTTTGAGAGAAGTTTTTCCTATTATCTTATCTAAAATAGTCTTCCCAAGGTCTATTCCATTACTCTGTCTTGTTTTCATAGCACTTACTAATTATCTTTGTTTATTACTTTATTGCTTGTCTCCCCATTATAACGTATGCTTCTGGGAGTCAGGAGCTCTTTCTTATACCAGCGATTTTATCACAAGACCTAAAAGAGTGCTTGGCACATGAAAGATGTCTATATATGATGAATCAGTGAATGAGTGATGAATGAATAAATATTGGTCCTCTTAAATCCCAAAGTCCTCTGTTTACTATTTATGCACAGCTATTAGTCTGTAGTACAACACTGTTAAGAGACAAAATATGCATATGGGGCAAAGCAATATTTGTAACTCTAAGGTACTCAACCTTGTAGATGAAGATAAGTGAGGAAGAACCAGTTATTAGAGTATCAATGGCATTGGTCATTTGGTTATAAGCGTAAGTGAATTTCCCCTTGAATTTACCCTGTGAGTTGCTATTTAATGGTGTTGGACAGTTACAGATAAGTTTGGTAGAACTTTTCTCTTTGTTTCCTTAAGGGTTTTGCCTTTGGGTAACCACCTTAATTTCTTCAGTCCCTGTCTTCCATGGATAAAGTCTTAGCAGAGCTATTAAAGATCCTAATGTCAACTTCTCTTAAGATTATATTGTCCATTAATGGGTGTTCTGAGAGATGTTATTTTGAGATCAAGTGCTAAAGATTTACAATACACACTTTAACTGGGAGAATATGCTTGTTTCACTAGGACAGATATGTTTCTCTATGGTATCCCCAGCACTTACAGTAACTGGCACGTAGGAAGCATTAAGAAAATGTTGAATAAATGAACAAGATAATCAAATTCTGTCTTGTGAAGAAACCCATTTGGGATCTATTATATGTTCTGGGTAATTCCTCTGAGCATCAGCGAGGATCTGTGCAACTAACACTCTGGTTTATATCTAATTTGAACTGCTGATTGTGGGCAGTAGAAATTATTTCAGTAGAAACTTAGCTGGCTTGAATTTATGAGATATTATTAGTCTCATTAAGAAAAATGTCTACCGACTTCTTTAGGAAGCTCATGTCTTCAGAAAGTTTCTTTGAGATTTCATATAGAATTCCTTGGTTTTAATAAACGTTCCTGACTTCTGCATATTTGCTATTGATGCAACAATGATGCTTGGATCAAAGTTACTTTGTCACTTTCTAATTCATTTATTTTAGATTACTCAGCTAGTAGAAAACAATAGAGTCACTTTGTTGCTGTAAAGTCTCTTCGTAGTATTTGGTGGGATTGTGCTATTCTTCAGTGGGCTGGTAATCCCTATAAAGCTTAGAGAAACACAGGGCTCTTTAAACGATCCTTTTTCTCTTTTCTGTTTTAAATTTCATCACTTGGTTATTTTTGCCACCTGCTTGGATTGCCTCCTTACCCAAATCTAAAATTCCTACAGTAAAATAAATAGAAAATGTGGTCGCTACTCTCCTTCAAAATAATATTTTCATTTCTTTGGACAAGTATGTTAATTTCTTCATATGCAGTTGTCAATGGTCCAGGTTTCGGAACCAAATAGCCTAAATTTGTGTCTGGACCCCACTACCTGCTATTATTGACTTTGGGCAAACTAGTTAACCTTTCTGTGCCTCAGTTTTCTCATCTTTAAAATGGGGCTATTAAGAGTACTTCTCTGTATTGTCATTGTGAATTATGAATCAATACATAAAATGAGTTTAGAAGAATGACTGGCACTTCACAAGTGCTCAATGTTAAATTGTTTTTATTGGGAAGAAATGAAAATACTTCCTTGCTTAATGTTGGAGAAAAGAATCACTAACCCATCGCATCTCTAAGATGATGATGATAATTGCAGTTGCCATTTATTACATCCCTACTGTGTACTAGGCACTGAATTCAATGCTTTGTCCACCTTATGTAAGTGAAATCTCACAGCACAGTGAAGTATTATTATTATTCCATGTTACCAATGAGGAAACAGGAGACCCTAAAAACTGAGTTCTTTCTCTAAGGTTAAACAGCTCATAAGGGATGGAGTTCAGATGTGAATCCAGTTCTATCTGATTTTAAATCCTGTTCTCTTAATTGTTATGTCATGTCATCTCTACAGTCTTCAATAATTGAGACTTAATGTTCTTTGATTACTAACATCCAGTGGCTATTCCAAGGGAATTCAAAACCCTTGTCTTCATGACTTTCAAAAGCAACCCAAGTCCTGAAAACAACATTTTTGTGAAGTATATTAGTGTAATCCAAAACATGATAAACACTTTTTAAAGATATTTGCAGATAAGACTCCCCTACCCTCACTGTTACAGTAACAGTGTAATTTTCCCTGGTATTGCTCTGAACATTAAGGAATTAAAACACTTGAGGCTGGACTTGTCAAGAGACCTATTTTTGTTTTGTTATGTTGTAATAGCTGTTGTTTCTGATATTTTTCTTTTTCCTTCATTCTGCTTTTTCTTTCTCCAATCTTGGCTTAAAGGGCAACTTCCTGTGCATGTTCAGGAATCTGTGGCAAAGGGAACAAGTATGATAATTTGTCTGCTACCATTTGGATGTTACTATTGTCTCAGCAGCCAGGAAAACAGACAGAGCCCCTGTGAGCATCATTGTGTTTGGGCTGCGGCTTTAGTTGCCAAAGTGCAGTTTTTACTGTTGGCATTTCCACCACCTGCTATGGGCAATAACCATCGAAAGGACAAATCCCCTTGTCTGTGATTTTTCTTTCTAGGCTTCTTTGGAGAAAGACTGTGAAATGATTTATTCCTCTGTACATATGAAGCTATAGTGTATTCTCCACTGCATAGTTTTGGCCTCTGATACTCTCTGTTCTTAGGTTAATCCATTAACTTGCCTGGGGGAAAAGGGACAGGAAAGATGGATGAAGGTGTTATGAAAACAGAGATGAGAAGGATCTTAAAAAATCCCAACCACTGCCTTTTCTTCCCTGTTCCCATCTGCTCCTGAGAAGTCCTTCAGAGGATGCCAGGCCTGTTAATACCTATACTTTATACCTGTTGTTTTAAATGAGGCAGTTCTTCCTCACTATATGGATATAATAAACAGTTAAGCTGTCTTCCTCTATGCCCCTCAAAAGGAGACAAACACACAAGCCCTACACAAATGGTATCGTGCCCAAATGAGTGTTGGAAATGCTGGATAAAACAAAGGTAAGTAGGTCTTTTCATTGCAGGCCTTCTCAGAGCCTTAAAAAAAAATCCTCACTCATATTTTGAATCTCTAGGAGAGACATATAGTATACAACATTCTCCAAATTTGTTTGACCTTGGAATGCTTTTTTTTTTTTAGAAGCAACTTGAGGGACAAAAGTTCTGTAGAACACGCTTTGGAGAGTATTGGGATAGATTACTTTCATTGCATTTTTGCAATTTGGTTTATAAACTTACCTTGGAGATTGGGCAAATTGGCTGGTTAGTTTAGATACAATATATTTTTTTCGGGTTGCAATTGTATTTTTACAGTAGCTAGCAGAAGCTGTGGTTCTGAAAAGATACTATAAGAACATTATCTTGTGTTCTAGAAAATAGAAAATACTCTATTTTCTTCCCCACCTCCATTTTTCCCCTGTCTTTAGAAAAATTAAAGTATACTTAAGAAGAGGAAACAAAGTGAGTGGTAAAGGTGTATGCCTCTATAGATGGACAGGTGTGTTAGTTACATTATATCCAAGTAATGTGTAAGTGGGCCTTATTAATGAGATCCTAAGAAACTATAAAAAATGAACATACCCCAGATTTCTCTTTGTGTACACTTTGAAAGTGTTTTTCCATTTCTATTAAAAAGTTTAATTTGTCATGCTCATGAAATCAACATAAATTTATGGAGGCAGAACATAATACAGTAAAAAGACAATGTGATCCTTTTCATGTGGCATTTTTAATACATTGTATCACAAATTACTTCAAAGAAACAATTAAAAGAACAAGGAAGAACTTAGGAGGTTCTTAAAATAGTATGTAGCACATTTTAGAACTCAAGTGACAGAGCTTTCCTGATGGGCCCAAGTCCTGTCTCCTCTCACCCTTTTTTTTTGGGGGGGGGTGGCGGGAACAAAACAATAAACACCTTTATTACATGGGTGAAGACAAAACGAGGATTTATTTGCCTTTCCGGGCCTTGATCTTCCTAAGATAGAACTCCAACTCTTTGCCCTCTAGCACATAGCCATCTGCTCGGCCACATCCACACAGTTCTCTCACTCTTTCAAAATGTCAGCACCAGTTCCAGAAGGAGGGACTGGCCCTTGTGATGGCCATAATGTAAAGTGTTCACACGACCAGGTAGCATTTCCATTCTTAGAAAGCTACGCTTCTTAGAAAGCTACGCTACTTGATTCTAAGAGATCAGTCATACAGACGTGTTTTTATTCCTTTCAGAGGCAATTCATTTCATGAAAAAATGCTGAAATGAAAACACTTTATAGTTAAGCTTGGTGTAGTCATAACCACACATAGCTGTGTTCTGTCATAATTTGTAAATTGAGCTCTGTCATAATATCTATTTTTCAGGAGGCTCTCAGTTAAATTTTCTTAAAAAGTCTTTCTGATTATGAAAGTAATGCATGCATTGCCCTGTGGCATATTACATATTACTCTCTCATAGAATATATAGAGAGAAGGTGGCAGTGAGGACAATTCTGTGGTCACCTGGAAGGTTTTCCTCTGGCACAGGAAAGACAGCTGTCCTATTTCTAGTTGATAAAGTGCCTAGACTGTGCATTAGAGGCCAAACATTGAAGGAAGTCAAATTGCCTTTTTGTTGATTCTAAAGTGGTCTTTGTATCAGAAAGTAGAATCTGAAGAAATATGCTGCAAGCCAGGATGATTATAGTTAACAGTAATGTATTATGTAGTTTCAAATAGCTAGAAGGAGGATGTTGAATGTTCCCAACACAAAGAAATGATAAATATTTGAGATGATAGATAGGCCAATTACTCTGATCTGGTCACTCTATATTATATGTATCAGAACATCACTATGTGCCTGATAGATTATGTATAATCATTTGTCAATTAAAACAAATTAGAAAACAACTTACTTGTCTTTTTGCTAAATCTGGATGTGGATCCAGCTGAATATAATTTCTTCCTAGTTCTATGAATAGGATATAGGTCTTGGTTTCCATGGTGTTGTGTGACTTATACTTTTGCTTATCTTTGTCAGTACTTTTGTGGGAAGAAGATAGGGGCTCTATCAGAGGTTGTTAGCTTGGTGATGTTTTCACCCACAAATTCTTCATTTGTTCTTAGAAGTTTTCTCATTTCTTTGAACTTTCCATTAACATTCAATCTTTCACTTATATGAAAAATATTTTCCTTCCTCCTCTTTTTCCTCTTCCGTACTTTCTCCAAATTCAGGAGGCAGATAATGGTAATTGAAAGTTCTAGGGACACACTGTGAGCTCAAGGTCCAGAAAGGTTAGGGAAAGTCTTTATTTTGAACTGTAGGTATGTTTTAATTCCTTCTGGAGACTAGCACTCCTCAGGGATGCTGAGACTGGCACTGGTGCTACCGGATATTAAACAGAATGGATTTAAAGTATTCTCCTGTATTAAGAAGATTATTTTCAAAAGAAAGCTCTATTTTGTAGTTATTGTCACTTTCCTAAAGATATAACTTTCCTGGAGCTGTGGATCGCCACAATATTGATGGCCCATCCCAGCACTATTTAAAGGCAGGGCTTTGTCATATTTTTTATAATATTTGCAGCTTGGTCAAATAATATTTATTAAATGATTAAATAAATTCAACAGCACTTAGAAACAATAGAGGCAGAAAATGAAGTTGTGGAGTTGGGGTGTGTGTGTGTATATATATATAGAATTAGTACATTTTCACACTGCTGATACAACTGAGACTGGGCAATTTGCAAAAGAAAGAAGTTTAATGTACTCACAATTTCATGTGGCTGGGGAAGCCTCACAATCATGATGGAGGGTGAAAAGCACGTCTCACATGGCAGCAGACAAGAGAATGAGAGCCAAGCAAAAGTGGTCTCCTCTTATAAAACCATCAGATCTCATGAGACTTATTCACTACCATGAGAACAGTATGGGGGAAACTGCCCCCATTATTCAGTTATCTCCCACTGAGTCCCTCCCGCAACATGAGGGAATTATGGGAACTACAATTCGAGATGAGATTTGGGTGGGGACATAGACAAACCATATCATACATATACATAGGTCAGATTGGTAAAAGTTATAGAAGCAAATGTTAGAAAACTATTTTGTAAAGTTGGAAAGTAGAAACAATAAAAAAACACAATTCAAAGAGATAAGCATTTTCACTGGTGTTTTTTTCTGGTGTGATTCTTCCAGAGATTATTCTGGTTATCCATTGCTGTGTCACAGACCACTCCAAATTTAGTGGATTAAAAATGATAAATATTTTATGATGTCATAGATTCTGTGGGCCAGAAATTTGGACAGGGCACAGTGAAGATGGTGAGAACAGTTTGTCTCTGTTCCCTGATGTCTTTGATCTCAACTGGGAAGAACTGAGGAGCTAGAAGTGACTGGCATGGCTGAGACCTAGAATTACCTGGAGGCTTCTTTATTCACGTGTCTGTGTCTGAGCCTGGAATGGGATGATTTGAAGGCTGAAGTTAGCTGAGATGGTGTGGCTTTTCCATGTGGCTCAGGCTTTTCATGCATGGTGGCTGCGCTTCTGAGAGAGAAGTCCTGAGAGGAAGTATCTGGAAAGGGAGCCTTCCAAGAGAACCAGGTGGAAGCTGCATTGCCTTTTCTGACCTATCCTCTGGAGGCACACAGTTACATTTCCACCACATTTCATTGGTTACATGTGAATCAGACCAAACAGATTCAAGGGGAGAAAGAATGAGCCTCACTTCTTTGCGCAGGAGAGTCAAGGTCACATTGCAAAAGAGCGTGTTGGATGGAAGATGTTACATCTGATTTTGAAAAATATACTTCTCTACAATATTGTTTGGTCATCTTATAAAAGTAAAAAATAGTGTACCTTTATAATATTTCATTGAGAAGTGTATTAGGCACTTTATCTTGCTAATGTAAGATGGTTCACTTTAAAGTGCTCTGTGTTTGAAACATTGTCTTTCTTCACCTTTCTAAAGAACGCTCTAAGATGATATATGGCAACCAATCAATATTACTTTTTTCATTTGTGTAGCTTATTTAACTACAACTATTTAATAAATATTATAGGGACATTGTGTTATTCCATTTTGTGACCCTATAAAGGAACACCTGAGGCTCGATAATTTATAAAGAAAAGAGGTTTAGGCCAGGCACAGTGGCTCACGCCTGTAATCCCAGCACTTTGGGAGGCTGAGGTGGGTGGATCACAAGGTCAGCAGATCAAGGCCAGCCTGGCTAACATGGTGAAACCCTGTCTCTACTAAAAGTACAAAAAAATTAGCCAGGCGTGGTGGCACATGCCTGTAGTCCCAGCTACCCGGGAGGCTGAGGCTGGAGGATCGCTTGAAACCAGGAGGCAGAGGTTGCAGTGAGCTGAGATCACACCACTGCATTCCAGTCTGGGTGACAGAGCAAGACTCTGTCTCAAAAAAAAGAAAGAAAGAAAGAAAGAAAGAAAAGAGGTTTAATAGCCAAAGTTCTATAGGCTGTATAGGAAGCATAGTGTTAGCATCTGCTTAGCTTCTGGTGAGGTCTCAGGGAGGTTTTACTCATGGTGGAAGGCGAAGCAGGAACAGCACATCACATGACGAGAGCAGGAGCAAGAGGAGTAGTGGGGTGCCACACTCTCAAACAACCAGATCTCATGAATTTGCAGAGAGAACTCACTCATTACTAAGAGCAGGGCACCAAGCCATTCATGAGGGATCCATCCCCATGACCCGGACACCTCCCACCAGGCCCCATCTCCAACATAATGGATTACATTTCAACATGAGATTTGAAGGGAACAAAACATCCAAACCATATCAAATATCATAGAAGAAAAAATAAACATATGGGAACATATAAGTGAGAAAATAAGTTTGTGAATTATCAAAAAGTGGAAATAGTAATATCTAGGCAGGTTAGCATACATAAGTGATGTTCTAGTGGTTCTCAATCTTTGTGGCAGAATATAATCATCTACAGAATTCAAATCAAAACAAAACAAAAAAAACTCTGGTACCCTGCTCCCTCCCCCAGAAACACTGATTTAACTGGTCTAAGGTATAGACCAGGCATCAATATTTAAAAGTTCCCTAGGTGATTGTAATGTGCAGCCAATCTTGAGAACCATTGCTTTAAACAGTTTGTAAAATGTACGAAACAGGGAAAGATGTTTAATTACAATGTTTAGTTACATGACTGAAATTTTATCAATAAGATCTAAATTCTAATCTAAACAGAAATTCATTTGCCTCTTCATTCTTCAACAGATTAGTTCCCAGAGGACACTGTTGGATTCATATCTGACACGTAAATAAAGCCCACACACCAATATCCAAAGCAGAAAGCTGAAAGGGACCTGTTTCCTTGATAATATCATTGAACCATTGAAATATTGACCCCATAATTGTTCCAATTTTGACTTCTAAGAATGTAGAATATTTGTATTTTGTTTCAACTAGATGTTGGAAAATTCTATAGTTTGCACCCGAAAGCGTTTGAAACATTCCTTTGTATAAACACATTTTCTTGATTGTGTGGTCAATCTGCTGGACAGATCCACTATGAATTCAGACAGATCTGGGTTTGAATCCTGGCTCTGCTACCGTTTAATGACTTTAACAATCTTATTTCATCATGCCTCCAAAAACTGGGAGAAAATAGAATACCTGTTTCAGAAAATGATTATAGGAATTAAAAGCATCCATTCTTTTATTCAGGAAACCTTTGAGCACATGAGTATTCCAAGATTGTATTCTGTACTTGGAGTATATAGGAATGAACAAGACAGCCACACTTAGCAGAATGGGAGAGGGAGGCAATAAGAAAGTTAAAGAAGAGATGACAATGTCGGTTTCTGATAGAAGCTGGGATAAAAAAAGGAGGTAGCAAAAAAGTGTGAATAGGACAAGTCTGAGACTCAAATGATAAAAGGTAGCTCTGCAAGGACCAGACAAGCACATCTAAGTCAGAGAATTGTTAATACAAAAGAGTCTTATGGCAAAAATAAGATTGGTTTATTTGAGAACAACAACAAAAAAGGTCAGAGAGCCTGGATCTAATCAGTAATGCAGTGGAGAGTGAGAAAAGTAAGATTGGACGGGTAAACAGACGACTGATTAGGTAAGCCAGGAAGAGGAGTTGGGATTTATTATAAATCTCATGATCAGCATTTATAAAACTTTAAGCAAGGTGCTAAATTATCTAATTTTATATATAAAGGGGTAAGAGTGAAGGGGGAAACCTGGTTAGCAAGGTCTTGTAATAGTCCCAGTGAGATATGATGGTGCCTTGTTTTAGGGTGGTGCTGGTGGAAGTGAAAAAATATATGTTTAATTTTGCTGTGAACCCAAAACTGCTCTAAAAAATAAGGTCTATTTTTTAAAAGTATATAAATGTTAGTAAAACACATAGATTTACATGGTGGGCACTCAGTTTATTAGAGATAGGGTCTCACTCTGTGCCCCACGCTGGAATGCAGTTGGCATGATCATAGCTCACTGTAATCTCGAACTCCTGCACTCAAACAATCCTCCTGCCTCAGCCTCCTGAGGAGCTAAGACTATAGGCATCAAATGCCCAGCTAATTTTATTTATTATTTATTTATTTTTTTGTAGAGACAGGGTCTTGCTATGTTGCCCAGGCTGGTCTCAACTCCTGGCCTCAAGCAGCCCTTCTTCCTTGGCCTCCCAAAGTGTTGGGATTACAGGTGTCAACCACCATGCCTGGCCAGTAAATGCTATTTTATTCATAATGTTATCATTACCATTAGTACAATGTGGAAGCAAGATCTGGCTCTGTCATTAGCATTGCTTTGGTGGAAAGATTTACTAAATAAAGCAGAGAGACTTTTCCAAATTGTATTTATTATCTTTAAAGGCTTTCCCCTGAAGGTACACTGGGATACTAAGAAGACCTGAATAGCTTAAGATCTCTACAAAAGGATTCCACATACCGGTTTGGGACTTCTAAGGGAAAATGCAAAGATTCACAACTTTTAATAGACAGTGATTTTTGTTTCTATATCTGACGGTCATATAATTATATTTTAGCATCCCAACACAGTTTTGCCATAATGGTGTGACTCTATGATTGTGTTGTATTATGTACCACTTCAACCCAAATTAGTTTAATGATGCTATAGAGGCAGAGTTGTTTTCCCATCAAAATGGGAACAAGTATGCAAAAGCAAGATAAACACTATCTTTCAGAGTGATACATTCAAGCAGCATTGGTTTTAAGATTAAGCAAATTCCCACTGCCTTGCTTTATTAGTATACTTATGAGAAGCTACTTTATAGGTCATATAACTGAAGTGAGTTTATAATTATGGCAATGGGTCTACATTGGAATGTAGTTTATAGTTACTAGCTCAAATATCTCTGCCTTTCACGTTATGTTGGAAAACTGCATGCTATCTTTATTTCTTAGTTTCACATCTGTAAACTGAGATTAAGATCTGCTTTTCTGTTTAAAGACTATTGCCTACATCAGAGAAATCATCCTTCAGCACTTGAAAGACTTTGAAAACAGAGGCTTCCTAGGCAGATAATATTTTGTTTACTATGGTTGGTTTTCTTTTTTCCTTTTGAATAGACTTTATTTTGTAGAGAAGTTTTAGGTTCATAGTAAAATTGAGCAGAAAGTATAGAGTTCTCATAAACCTCTTCCTATGCCATCACACATGATAGCTTCCCCCATCAGGAGCATTCCATGCCTGAGTGGTACATTTCTTACAATTGATGAAACAGTATTGACACGTCATCACCCAAAGTACATAGTTTACACTAGGATTCACTCTTGGTGTTGTACATTATCTTCATGTGTCACCATCATAATATCCTACAGAATAGTTTCATTGCCCTAAAAGTTCTCTGTGCTGTGCTTCCTCATTCCCTCCTAACCACTGTCAAGTAATCTTTTTACTGTCCCCATAGTTTTGCATTTTCTAGAATGTCATATAGTTAGAATCATATGGTATGTAGCTTTTCAGATTGGCTTCTTTTACTTAGTAACATGCATTTAAGTGTCTTCCATATCTTTTTTTAATATATACATATATATTTTTTATTATACTTTAAGTTCTGGGATACATGTGCAGAACGTGCAGGTTTGTTACATAGGTATACACGTGCCATGGTGGTTTGCTGCACCCATCAACCCGTCACCTACATTAGGTATTTCTCCTAATGCTATCCCTCCCCTAGCCCCCATTCCCCAACAGGCCCCGGTGTGTGATGTTCCCCTCCCTGTGTCCATGTGTTTTCATTGTTCACCTCCCACTTACAAGTGAGAACATGCAGTGTTTGGTTTTCTGTTCCTGTATTAGTTTGCTGAGAATGATGGTTTCCAGCTTCATCCATGTCCCTGCAAAGGACATGAACTCATCCTTTTTTATGGCTGCATTGTATTCCATGGTGTATATGTGCCACATTTTCTTTATCTAGTCTATCATTGATGGGCATTTAGGTTGGCTCCAAGTCTTTGCTATTGTGAACAGTGCTGCAATAAACATACATGTGCATGTATCTTTATAGTAGAATCATTTATTATCCTTTGTGTATATATCCAGTAATGGGATTGCTGGGTCAAATGGTATTTCTGGTTCTAGATCCTTGAGTAATTGCTACACTGTTTTCAACAATGGTTGAACAAATTTACACTCCCCCCAACAGTGTAAAAGCGTTCCTATTTCTTCACATCCTCCCCAGCATCTGTTGTTTCCTGACTTTTTAATTATCGCTATTCTAACTGGCGTGAGATGGTATCTCGTTGTGGTTTTGATTTGCATTTCTCTAATGACCAGTGATGATGAGCATTTTTTCATGTTTGTTGGCCACATAAATGTCTTCTTTTGAGAAGTGTCTGCTCATATCCTTCACCTACTTTGTGATGGGGTTGTTTGTTTTTTTCTTGTAAAATTTTTAATGTTCTTTGTAGATTCCGGATATTAGCCCTTTATCAGATGGATAGATTGCAAAAATTTTCTCCCATTCTGTAGATTGCCTGTTCACTCTCATGATAGTTTCTTTTCCTGTGCAGAAGCTCTTTAGTTTAATTAGATCCCATTTGTCAATTTTGGCTTTTGTTGCCATTGCTTTTGATGTTTTAGTCATGAAGTCTTTGCCCATGCCTATGTCCTGAATGGTATTGCCTAAGTTTTCTTCTAGAGTTTTTATGGTTTTAGGTCTTACGTTTAAGTCTTTAATCTATCTTGAGTTAATTTTTGTATAAGGTGTAAGGAAGGGGTCCAGTTTCAGTTTTCTGCGTATGGCTAGCCAGTTTTCCCAACACCATTTGTTAAATAGGGAAATCCTTTCCCCATTGCTTGTTTTTGTCAGGTTTGTCAAAGATCAGATGGTTTTAGATGTGTAGTGTTATTTCTGAGGCCTGTGTTCTGTTCCATTGGTCTATATATCTGTTTTGGTACCAGTACCATGCTGTTTTGGTTACTGTAGCCTTGTAGTATAGTTTGAAGTCAGGTAGTGTGATGCCCCCAGCTTTGTTCTTTTTGCTTGGGATTGTCTTGGCTATACGGGCTCTTTTTTGGTTCCATATGAAATATGAAGTAGTTTTTTCTAATTCTGTGAAGAAATTCAATGGTAGCTTGATGGGGATAGCATTGAATCTATAAATTACTTTTTATGGTTCAATAGCTCATTTCTCCTGACTGCTGAATAATGTTCCCTTGTCTGGATGTACCACAGTTTATTTATTCATTCACCTGCTGAAGGACACCTTAGTTGGTTTTAAGTTTGGGCAATTATGAATAAAGCTGCTATGAACACTCATGTGTAGATTTTTGTGTGAATATAAGTTTTTAGCTCCTTTGGGTATATACCAAGGAGCACAACTGCTGGATTGTATGGTAAGTGTATGTTTAGTTTTGTAAGAAGGTGCCAAACTGTCTTTCAGTGTGGCTGTACCATTTTGCATTCCCACAATCTATAGATGAGACTTTCTGTTACTCGACATCTTTACCAGCATTTAATATTGTCAGTGTTTTAAATATGGACCATACTAATTGATGTATAATGGCATCTCATTGTTGTTTTAATTTGCATTTCCCCAGTGACAAATGATACAGAGAATCTTCATATATAATTATTGCCATCTGTATTACTTTTTGGGTGAGGTGTGTGTTCAGATCTTTGGCCATTTTTCATCTGCTGTTTTCTTATTGTTGAATTTCAAGAGTTTTTAACATATTTTGGATAACAGTCCTTTATCATTATGTCTTTTTCAAATATTTTTCCCATTATGGCTTATCTTTTCATTCTCTTGACAGTTACATCATGCTTTTAATTGTAGAATTAGACAACAATGAAATAACCAAAGCCTTAGTAATCTTAATTAGAGATTATCTTCTATTATTTTCTATTTTTCTTGTTTCACCTGAGTTAGAAAACTGACCTGCACTGACTTCCTCTTTCACAATAATTCCAGTGAAATGAAAGTGATTAGAAAGTCTTAGCAAATTCACCAAAAGTTAGAGCCAGAAGACTCACATTTCAATTCTCTACCTAAAGAGAAGGACAGGCAGAAGCCAAATATGTAAAGAGTTTGTCAGAAGTATGCCTTGGAGCCATGGGCATTGTTCATTACTCTGCTGAATTTATCTTATGGATTTTCCCCTCCACATTAATGTTTCAATGATCTTGGTTAGATTGTTGAAGTACAGGTTCCTGCTAGGCATTTCTAACTTTTTGTTTTAATATTCTCTTATCCTGTTCATTTACTCTCATTTTTCCTTTTAGAAATTTACTGCCATCTTCTCTTTTAGAAATTCTTTTGACAATCTGAAGGAATGCAGTTATTTATCCCTATGAGCAATTAAATACTTTTAATGGGAATGTCATGTTTTTAAATCACATTTCTTATAAGAAAAAAATGGTGTTTACTCAAATGAATGTGGTCTGATGGTGATCCTGATCTATGAGCAGTAATTGAGATCATGGAAATAAATACAGGAAAGCTGGCTCCCTGCTCCCTTCAATAACCAAATCTATGGTTTAGACATTTTTTAGCACTTTGCTCCAACCTGTTACAGATTATCAACATTATATATGATGATAATAAATCAGAGCACCACTTTAAAACACAAAAGTGGTTGCCTCTCAGTGCTATGGCAAACATAGAATTTTGAACTTTTTGTATGACTGGTATTTTTTTAAGCGACTATATTTTAATAACGAGCTATTGCATGTGACTTTACTATGATGCTCAAATATGTTCTATGTATGACGGGGAGGAGGAATGATGTTACCATATGTTGGTTCTGAATTCCTATTTTATTTTATTCTCAGGTGGAAAAAAGAAAGAAAAAAGGATTCATCAGCAATAGGGCAACTTAGAGCGGACACATAGGTACTATGGCAGTGATAAGAGATGAGATAGATCATCACTATGCCCTTTTCAATTCTTGGGAACTGTCTTCGTTAAACAGTTTTAGATGCAAGGGTAATTTTTTTCCTATGGTGATTGTAGAAAGAACACCCAGAGATTGGGACTAGAAGTCAGGATGTCTTTAGCCTTACTTGGTTGTCAGCTAACTGTGCTGTTTTGGACAATGCATTCTTTTTTGGTATTCTGTTTATCCCACTACAAAATAGAGATAGTGAGAATTGGATTACCATTGTCAATATGAAGCACAGATGAGGTAAGTGTGAATCACTTGAGGATATATAAAGTCATTTAAAACTTTAATAATTATAATACGATAATATAGTTGTTGATTTAGTTTAGTTTCTTACATATGATATTCTACATATTCTTATCACTTCACAGGGAAGCATTGACTGGCCAAAGTAATGGTGGGTAGAGGGAATCACTTACCTTAGCTTAAAGAGATGCCAAAATCTAGGACCTATTCAGAGTTATGAATTATATTTTGTTGAGCAGTGTTCCTCCAAAATTCATGTCCTTCCTGGAACCTCAGAATGTGACCTTATTTGGAGGTCACACTGGAGATGAGTGGGCTCTTACTCCAATCTGACTTGTATCCTTATAATAAAAAGGGAAGAGACACAGAGACAGATGCACACACAGAGGAGAACATTGTGTGCAGACACAGACACATGAGGAAGATGGCCAGTAATGATGAAGGCAGAAATTGGAATTACTCCGTAGGAAGGCAAGGATCACCAAGGATTGCTGCCAACTACCAACAGCTAGAAGACTATGGCCATGCTCACATCTTGATTTCAGACTGTGACCCCCAAAACAGAAATGGTGAGAAAATTAATCTATTAAGTCACCCAGTTTGTGGTTCTTTGTTACAGCCGCCCTAGGAAACTAATACAGGAGTCAAGGAGGCTGCTGAACCCAGCTGGACACTGAGGGGCATCCACAGAGGTCACCAAAGTGGAGTGGCCAGAACTAGATTTTGGAAGCCAGATATGGAGGCAGGAATCCAAGAAGCAGGGAGCCTAATGAGGAATAGTCATAAAAAGAGCTCTTGGCAGCCGCCTGTTCCAGATGTTGGTGTTGCTGCCAGTTTCTATCTGCTCAGTACCCAAGGCACTTTAATGGACTGAGATAGGTTGGACAGGTTCTGTTTGAAAAAATCCCTTACATGCAAAGTAAGATAAAACCAAAAGCCAAAGTATCTTGCTTTACCTTGAAGAAGGAAGCAACTCTCCCTGATCACAGAGCTTCCCTACTTGGCCATAGGATAGCCTCATGTGCACTTAGCTCAATGTTACTCTGAGTTTCTTTCTACTCCGTCTTTCTCGATATAATCCTAAAAGTTAGGGATTCCCAGGAATTATCATGGAACAACTGGCTTATGTCTTAGTTTCCTATCACTGCTGTAATAAATCACGGCAACCTTTGCAATTTAAAACAACGTAAAACCTATTATCTTAGACTTTTGCAGGTGAGAAGTCCATTATGGGTTGCACTAGTCTAAAACTAGTGCAACACTTTTTACCCCCTGAAAGACATCAACACTTTTTACCCCCTGAATCTAAAATAAAAGTTGAAATTATTTTTAGAAATAAAAATAAATTAAAATGTTTCGTAAACCACTTTGGTTTCCTTTCTGGTGTCTCTGAGGCAAATGTTTTCTGCTCATTTGAGTTGTTGGCAGAATTTAATTTCTTGTGGTTGAAGGATGGAGATCTGGGGTTTTTTTGCTGGCTGAAAACTGAGGGCCATTGGCAGCTTCTAGAGGCTACTGTATTCCTAGCCCATGGTGCCTTTCTTCCGTCTTCAAAGCCTGCATTCTTCTGCTTCTTTGTCCTTTTTTAAAGACTCATGTGATTAGATCAGGCCCACCCAGATAATCCAGGATTATCTCCCTTTCTTCAGGTTGGCTGCTGAACAACCTCAATTCCACCTGCAACCTAATTCCCTTTTACCATGTAGCCTAACATATTCACAGCTCTGGGGATTAGGATGTGGACGTCTTTCAGGAGCCATGATCCTTCCTTCCACACATTAACTGCAGCTAAGCAACATGACTCCCCATCACGACAGAGTAGAAGGAGAAACTGAACTGTGAGAGGGGAAACAGCTTTATCAAAACATAGCAAATGTCAATTATAAGCAAAAAGAGAAAGTCAAGCTGCCTATAATATGTGCAATATATTTATTCTTTTATAAACTTGCTGATATGGAAATTAAAAATTAAATCTACTTAATGGAAAATATTTGATATAAGAACATCAGACATATCTTTGATAGGCAATAAATTACTTTATAGAATCGTTTAGCATCTTATCTTCAGGGCTATTTTTTGGCCCTAACTTTGAGCACATTAATTTTGAGTTCCTCTTGTTTCTCTTCTATTTGTTCCCTCAAACCCAATGTATCAGAAGTTATTTTAACTTAAGTTTTCCTTGCCTAATTCCATCCACTTATCCCCAGAATTGTTTCATCTCATGTATTTATTACACTGTTCACATATCACCTTCTATTTTCATGCCCCTTGTAAACAGCCTAAGAGGCACATTACTGGTAAAGCCTCAGGGTAAACAGGCATTGCCTCCCATTTTGATTTCAGCTCCATTTAATGACTTTTTATACCCAATGTGGACACATACTCATTTTTAGTTTTCCAATGCAGATTTCAGCTATATTTTGGCTTTATTCCTCTTTTTTCATCCTTTTTTTCTTTTTTTTTTTTTTTTTTTGAGACAGAGTCTTGCTCTTTTGCTCAGTCTGGAGTGCAGTGACATGATCTCGGCTCACTGCAACCTCCAACTCCCAGGTTCAAGCAATTCTCCTTTCTCAAGTAATCCTCCTGAATAGCTAGGATTACAGGCATGCACCACCACACCCAGCTAATTTTTGTATTTTTAGTAGAAACGGGTTTCACCATATTGGTCAGGCTGCTCTTGAACTCCTGACCTCGTGATCCGCCAGCCTAGGCCTCCCAAAGTCCTGGAATTACAGGCGTGAGCCACCGCGCCTGGCCTACATCCATTTTAAAATGAAAAAATATATATATATGTAATTTATTTGAAGAAAGTCTATTCATTTACGTAACACTTATCATTGAGCACTTCGTAGGTACCTGGCGTTGTTCTAGACACTGGAAACAGACCACTGATTCTGATGCTCAAGGGCCCTGTTGGTGGCATTGCCTTTGGTGCATCCTTTTCTTTCACCTCTTATACTTTCGTGTTAATACTTCCCTACATGGATTGTTTTCTTACTTTGTCATGTGTACACTTTCCCTACATGGTGTTTTCTTACCTTGTCATGTGTACACTTTTTTTACCCTTTGCATTATGAAATTTTTGTATCCTGAATCTCGTTTGGCTATGACTCAACTTTTTAAGCTAACTCTATTTGGAAAGAGTCTGATTAAAGAAAATGTCACCAAACGGTTAAATATGTTATTTCTGTGCATGTTTGTTATTTGTCAAGGGGTTTCATTTTAACCCAAATGAATAACTTTTTATTGGTGGATTGTACCCATCCTCGTTAGATCACCAAAGGCAGTATGTATTCTGATAGGGCCACTTTGTTGTGCCTCTCTGCTTTCTTTTCTCTCTCTTTTTCTTTTCTTTCTTTTTCTCTCTCTCTCCTTTCTCTCCTTCCTTCCTTCCTTCCTTCCTTCCTTCCTTCCTTCCTTCCTTCCCTCCTCCCTTCCTCCCTTCCTCCCTCCCTTCCTCCCTTCCTCCCTTCCTCCCTCCCTTCCTCCCTCCCTTCCTCTCTTTCTTCTCTTGCCTCTTTACCTAATGTCTCAAATGGTAAGTCAGGCCCTGACCTCACATGTGACAGTTAAAAAGATGCCAGTGACATCTTTCCCCAAAGCAATAGAAAGGATATTTTTCAACTAACGATTTAAATAGGTCAAAGCAAACAGGATACTCACATTAAAGGAAGAAGAAACTGCATGTTATAGAAAGACCTATGCATTCAGATACCTTTGCCTGCCCTGAAATTCCATTTTTCAAATTCATTTGCCTGTTAGCTGAGGACCTTTTTAATGGAACTGATGTTAGTGATCTCCTAGACCTCTGACAGTTCTTGAGAGATAGCAAAAGCTTTCCCTGAAGTGCTAGCCATGTAGCTTATCCCTTTAGGCACTCTATTGTAGAAGTCTCCCTGATAAAGCTTCCTGTACTCAAATTCTTAGGGGCAGGGAGGAGGGATAAACAATTGGAATACTTTTTTGGGATATTAATAATTGGTTATTTCAAAATCTAAAAAAAAATTAAAAATAATCATTTGAGGAACTCTGTTAAATTTTTTAAAAAGTGCATTAGGTTTAGATGTGATGAAGCAACAAATGCAACAGATGTTGCAATGCCAATCAGATACTTGACTAAGACAAAAGTTTAATGCCAAACTGCTTCACCAGAAATAGCTTCCTACCTGACAGAGGACACTGAATTGTGTCAAAGTATTAGAGGAGGCAATTGGTAGGTAAAGATAATTAAAGGGACATCCAACATGTTTTGAGTTCTTTCTCCGTATATATGGAGAGAGAGAAAAGGGTATATTTGTGCCTTGGATTCATTAGTAAAATGCATTAGCTATAGCTGACTGATTTGCAACTGGTGCCTGCCTGAGGTCTCCAAAGAGAGGAGATTTACATTTAGGTTTTAAGCTTGGGAAACTTTGAAAGTTCTTATAAAAAATTAGACAGTCATTTAGAAATGTAAATATACTGTATTTCTTTCTGGATTACACATTTGCTGAAATTCACCTTTTAGTTTTTTTAGAAGGGAGCGGTATTGGCATACGTGTTACACTTTTTTGCACATCACTTTTGAAATGAGGTTCCAGATGGAGTCTCAGCCCCAGAGTGTAACAAAGAGATCATTGGTTACAACCTCCTTCTTACAGACTAACACACTAAAACCCAGAGAGGTTAAGGAAGAGATTTAAAATCACACAAATATTTAGCAGCCTGGCCATCCATGACTAGGACCCAAGTTAATCAAATTTCCATCATAGTCTTTTTTTCCTTCCCTTCATCAGCATTATACTTGCTTGAGTAAACATCTTAAATATAGAATGTTTCTCCTTTTCATTAAGAGGTCATCTAAAATAGTATGTTCTCTATTCTCCATTAAACATAGTTTATAAGATTTCTTTGCCTTTAAAATCAGTTTAATTAGGGTAAAATTTAATACATAATTGATCATACATCTCCAAGTTGAAACATCTATTCTGTTTTTAGGCTTAGTTTAGTCATTTCCCATTTGTTTGATTTAAAGTAGGGTTGAAGGGGCACACAGCCCCGGGAAACTTCAGTGTAAAGTGCCATCCAACTCTAGCCAGATTCTTTTATCTAATCACCACACTCCCTGAAGTCTCTGATAATTATCAATAAATTGGGTGGTAGATAAATAGCAGTGTCATGAGAGAAGGAAAAAGCTGAAGGCACACTAGCAGTGACTCTTTCTACCTGTCAGCAGGATGGAGGAGTAAAGACAGATCTGTCCTGTTTGTCAGGAGCAGAAAGTATGCTGGCGAAAACGAACTCCTGGGAAGGGAAGGTGTCAGGAAGATGAATTACCCCAGGAAGCCAGGACTGCTCTCCCAGTGGAGAGCAGCTCACTTGGATATAATTTGCCAGCTGTCCGTCTTGTCCTCGTGCGTCTCTGTCTTTTTCCTCCTTTGCGCTGCCAGCAACAAGCCTGTGCTGTGTAGATCTAGTGCAGCCACAGAACCTTGGGACTAGCTGAAGGGCCGCTAGACCTAATGGCAGGGGTAACTATTTTTGCAATTGTGAATATTCAGCATGCACAGGCTTCCTATCAGCTCTCCCAGGAGCTCTCTGAGAGATGGACCCTGTGAGGAAACATCTTTAAATGAACACCTTAGTAGAGAATGATCCTGTTAGGTGAATAAAAGGCTGATTACATACCCAGAGGTGAGCCATAATGAGGCTCAGAGTAACTAAATGCAGCAATCTGCTGCACTTTGTATCTGGACTTGAGCCTGAGCATTTCAAAGTAGCATCTGGAAAAGAAAAAGGCTCTGGGGAAAATCACACAGTAGACTTGAAATATTTCATTTTTTTTTCTCCAAAGGGAACTTAGGGTAGATTTCTTGGGTAACGGTTTTGAAGAAAGAAGGCCTGGTGTGAGAGGAACATGTTGTGTTGGCATCACCACCTCACATAACCAAACTAACACTCTCCTATCATTGTTGGGTGCTGAGAGAGCTGGTGGTCCCTGCCTGTGTCTTTAAAGTGACAAGGGTTGCCTAGCCTGAAGATTCTAGCACAACATCAGCATCTTACCTACATAAACTGAAGATTCCTCAAGAATGTTGAAGCAATAGTCATTATGTTTACTACAGGAGTAAGTGAGGCATCAATCTACCTTCTACCTTGTGAGTTAGCCACATAAAGCAGTGCCACAGGTTGAAACAAACCTTCTTGGTCTGGTTTATAATTTAAATTCTCCATGGAAGTAGCTGCAGCTTGGAAGCTCATTCCATTGAAAAGTTCACTGGCTTTGGTGATTCACAAAGGAGCATTTCTTATTTGGTGAATTAGTATCCTAATTAATTCATTTCATGGAGCAAGCATCTTTGTGATTCTCTCTTCTGCTGCCTACTTTCTCCCTGGCAGGTACAGGTAGGATTCTAAAGTATAAAGAGGACTTTCACCTGGAAACCAGAAGGTTGAGTTCTTAAAGGGGTCATGATGCTTGCTAGTAATGTGACCTCCTGCTATTCAATACTTCTGAGTCTCCTTTTACTCATCTGTAAAATGGGGAGAAAAAAAAACTGTCCTGCCTTTTACCCTTTTCTTAGCATACAAGAGTTACTGAGAATGCTTCAGAAGCTATTATGAACCACTGTAGCATCAGCTATATTTATTTAAGGCACCTATTTTGTATGTTAAAATATTCTAGAGTATCTTATAACTCTTGGTTAATGAAACTAAGGACTTTCTCACTCCTTAGGTAAAAAAGTAGTGTTTATTTCAGAGCAAGATGTTCAAAAGCAAGACTAAACAATTTGATTCCTGGGATCATGCCATCGGGCTGTCTTGACTCTCTCTGATTGCTTTCAGTATTTTTATTTTATTGGGTAGAAGAACTTGGTAAAATGTTACCCTGAGGCTAAAGAGAGCTCTTTAAAATGACTTTAGGGATCTGAATAGACCAGTTGCCATTTATTCCCTTAATATGATTAGTTTCCTAATAGTCAAAGGCTGAGATAGCATTTATTTCTCCTAAGTTTCAGTCTAAGCCAATGTGGGTGCCTATTAGTGTCATAGTGATGAGTGGCACAGATGAGCAAACAGATAATTAAGGAAAACCAAATATCCTTCCCATCCCCCACCTCACACCCATTTAGTAGTTGACTTTGGTGTAAAAGTGTCTTCCTGTTTCAGTAGGATAATTTGGTGCTCATCTGTCAGATAGATGGAGGATGGCAATGCTAATTTGTTTCTCCAGGCATACTTGCCTCAGACTTAAGGACTAAGGTTACCATGTAGCTCAGAGCTGAAAGGTAAGAGTCAGAGGCATTCAATGATTAAATAGTCAATATGTTCTGACTTCTCTGCTAATTTAGCAAAAGGAAGAACATCTCAATTTTGTCACTTATTACCAGTTGTTTAGCTTGTCTTAGAAACATGCCTTGATTTGAATAGATAAACTACTTTTAAAGCATAAGTCAGCAGCCTTTTGTTTTATGAAATAGTAGTCCTCCATTTGGGGCAATTAAAATGACCATTTCTTTGGAAATAAAATGTTAAACTGGTGATGGTAGGGTGAGGTCTAGGGGGTGATAGGAGAGGGAAGTTGAGATTTCAACAGCTAAGTGCAAAAGAAAATTTTAAAATACTTAGTATTAAAATTTTTAACTTGCTACTACTTTATTGGTCTCATATAAGGACATGAACACCTGGGGAAGTAATTGGAAAGGGAAGGAACATAAAAAATATTTTATATTCTGTGAGGTAAAAACTGAGGCTAAAACATAAATAATTTGGCCCAGGTCATATGGCAGGAGAATATTAGAATCTGGATTTGATCCTGCTTTTGTCTGGCTGTGGCTGTGAAAATTGAGTCCATCAGTTTTCATCCCATGGCATCTGGAATCATTGCCCCTTGCCACGTCTTTGTGTGTGTGCGCGCGCACGTGTGTGTGTGTGTATGTGTGTGTGCGTGCTCCAAGTTCATCCCGATTTCTTTAATCTAGCCTTGTTAAAACACATTTTAAGGTCAGTTTTTAAGGCACAAAATGTAGGATGAGTGAGTTGATAGGTAGATATCTATTAGCTTGAAATTGTATTCAAAACAGAACCTCATTCTTAAAAGTTTAAAAATCTATATCAATTACCCAGCCTCAAATATAGTTTTCTTCTCTTTCAAATGTTGTAGAAAAATGCTTCATATTTTCTGGCTACTGAGCTTCTTAATATTAGAGTACCATCTCTTCCTACAATTCGGTTACAGGTTGCTCACTTTTAGCGACATTGGCTTTCTAGTTGGAGAAATTCCTTAGATTTCAGGTACCACATCAGAATTTCTTTCAGTTAGGGTGACAGATCCAATATACTACATGTGTGTGAAGTATAGATGAAGGTAATCAGATCTCATGCTTCAGGGAATAAACTGATTACCCGCGATGGTCAGGAAGGAATTTTCACCATTAGCATCCTGCAAATACACAAACCCAAGTGCAAGAATCCAACTTTCTTCTATGTAAAGTTTTCTTGTAGCACCTCATCAAGTGCAGGGCATAAAATCTAAACCTATGACATAATGTGCTATGTATAATTGTTGTCATACATGCATGACTGTTTATTATGCACCAAAATAAATACTGTAGCAGTTGAGACAGAGTCTAGTTAGATAACTGAGATAGTGATTCATTAAATATAAACTACTTAAAATCTTTTCATGTTTCCTCCAGGAATCTCAAAGTACCTTCCCAAAATGAGCTCATTAATCCTCATGAATATTCTGTCACATAAATTCTGTTACATTTCTCTGAAAACATAGGTTAGTCAATCTTACTAACTAGTAAGTTCTAGCAGCAAGTCTTCACAGCACTCCAACACCTTTATTGCCTTGAAATCTCATTAGAGATTTAGTTTCTAACACTGTTAATCTAGATGGAATTCTTTCATCCCTAGCTCATTACTACATTTACCCTTCAACAAACATGTGGTGGGAGTCAACTGTGCGCAACGTGCTGAATATGAAAAGTTAAATGGGGCTCAGGGTTCACTGGGAAAGTGCTGGTAAGTTCATTCACATGCACTCCAGTACAACTTGGTATGCCCAGTGCTGCCTAGCCTAGCAAGACCCTCTTTAATCTACTGTTGCCTTCTTGTACAGGTCTTTATATCATGCGGGCTTTGACACAGATAAACCTACTGTAATCCGTGATTTGGTTCTAAGAGCCTATAATGAACTCCAGTTAATTCAGATGCCATTTAGAGAAACTTGGTCATATTCTACCTTAGAAAACTCTTGGAATAACTTTAGTTCTTTTGAAAATTGCAGTGGTCCAGACATTTTTACTCTAGTATAACTGCTGTGTGTGTGTGTGTGTGTGTGTGTGTGTGTCTGTTGATCAGAAACTTTATAACGAGGATTAGACTTAAATTTGGCAAGCTTTTCTAGATAAATTCTAGAGAAAGGTCCCATGATGATCCTAGAAAATTTAATTAAGAGTAACAATTAAGAGATCCTTTTGAAGTGCCCATGTTTAAGTTTTATTTGTTTGGTTTTGTATTTTTTTCTAAATATTCTTTCAGATCAAACCAAGTCTAAACTGGTTACTATTTGACTTAATGAAAGGCCTGACATGAAGGAAGGATGTAAATAATTTTGAGAGAAAATACTTTTGAAATGTTAAAACATTTCTTTTGAGCAATGTTATTTTTATTATAAAGGAAATAGCACTTTCACCTCTGGGAGTGAATAGGGGCTTCTCAATTTGATACCTAAAGGATATTTCCTCTCAAGACAAACAAACAAAAATGTGCTTACTGGGGCTGCACCTTCAGCCCAGCATTGGATATGTTAATTGCTGACATACTTGAGGTCTCACTAAGAGAAAAATATCATTAGACTGCTGGTTCCCAAAATACATTCCCTTAAATATCAGTCCTATGGAGTGGTCCTTGGGAATAAAAATCAGGGAACATATTCAATGGTAAATATATATATATATATATATATATATATATATATATATATATATATAATATTTATATATATATTATATATGTATTATGTAGCTCTTTATTATTATTATTATTATTTTTGAGACAGAGTCTGGCTCTGTTGCCTAGGCTGGAGTGTAGTGGCATGATCTCAGCTTACTGCAACCTCCACCTCCTGAGGTTCAAGCCATTCTCCCGCCTCAGCCTCCCGAGTATCTGGGATTACAAGCACCTGCCATCACGCCTGGCTAAGTTTTGTATTTTTAGTAGAAACAGGGTTTCACCATGTTGGCCAGGATGGTCTCAAATTCCTGCCCTCGAGTGATCTGCCTTCGACCTCCCAACATGCTGGGATTATAGGTGTAAGCCAGGGTAGCTTTTTAATACTGCTCCCTCTCTCTTAGGTATTCACAGTGCATATTAGCAAATTAAATGTTCTGTGAAGTCTTGTATTAAGTACATCTTTTAATATTTTATTTAAGACTTCCCAAATTCACTTGACCATTCACTTTGTAATATTCCTTGACAGAATACTTGTTAATATCCAGCTCCTGGGAACACAATTTGGGAAATACTACACTAGGAAAAAAAATCTAGGTTGGGGAAATCTAACTAAACAAGAGTGTTTATTTACATTAGTAAGTTACTTTGTACTTTATGTGAGTCTCCTTTTCAAGTGAGTTTCTCAAGTGTCTTAAAATACTATTTTAAATAATTTTTAAAACATTGATATTTTTTTGAAAATACATTAAGTATGTTTTTAGAACTTGAAATTGAATGAATTCCCCCTTATCCCTTGTCTGCCAGTTCTGTTAGTCTTCTCTTCAGTATTTGATTTATGAGAGATCAATTCATATCCAACTTTTCAGAGCATGTCTCATGTCATGTGAAAGACAGCATACCTATATTTGTGTAAGAAAGGGGAGAAAACCTACTTCTGAGTGTAACATAAAAACTATGTGACAGTCAAGTATGATAAAAGGAAAATACTGGTTATAGGGTCAAGCAACCTTTATCTCTTTTTGGCTTACTGTGAGATTTGGGCCAACAAGTAACCTCTCTGATCCTGCCTGGATAATTGAAATGACTATTACTTCCCTCCACCAGAGAGTGAATGATGTGTGGATTAAAGTCTGACCTTTGGGCAAATGCCTCCTAGTGACTTGAAAGAAGGTGCCCTCATTTCTAACCCACACCTTACATCTGTGTCTATGATCCCATTCACAGACTGGTTCTGAATTAATTCTGTCAGTCTTGCATTCTTGCACTTGCCTTCCTGTCACCTATTCACTTGCATTCTCTCTCTACAGTTAGGACATTGTCAACACAGATTGTGTTTGAGTAAAAAAGTTCACTCAGAGAAAAATAATTATAGAAAGGAAAAGCATAGATCAGGAGACAAGTAAAGACATACAGTGAATCTTTAATCCAGAGTTGATTTACTCAAGCCTTATTGAAAGATAATCATGAAGCAAAATGATTAGGTATGGATGTGTAAATCTGTAATGAATGACTCTGAGTAAAGATTGTACTCATCATCACTAGATTTCTCTCATAAGTGCATTGGGTTAAAAAAAAGAATTACCTAAGATCATTTGAAATTCAGTAATAAGATTCTCTTCAGAAGATCTTTTGATTCTGTAGAGAATTAACATATCTAATTATTATCTGAAGACCCCAAACACCAGATCCTCCAAAATAATGTTCCTTCTGACATTTTCAACTTGTATAAAATTTGGTTATCTGGAAATTTACTGCACATAAGGTCCAGCAAGAGAATAATTACACTTTATTGATATTTTCTCACAATGCCATGAGAAAATCTGGCTGAAGCTGTGAAAAATGAGTTATATTTATAAACCAGAGATGTTAGCTTTCCAAAGTAGTTTCAAATCCAGACACCCAATACACACACTTCCACTCACCTTCACGTTCTCACAAACTTATACAAGAAAGTACTCAATGATGTATTTCTAGGCATTAAATATTTATATGGTGTATATAGGTAGGTATATATATATATGTATGTGTATTTATGTGTGTGTATATGTACATATGTTCACATACATTTATGTATATGTATGTATATATGAATCATAATTTGCTGATAAGCGTTAGACACTATTATTATAAATTTCCCTTAATACACAAATTTCTCAATATCTTAGAAGAAAATTTTCAAGTATATGAGAGCTCTTCTTTCTATCAGCATAGGTGATAGCATTAAACTGAATATTAACCATTCCCCAGGGTAGAGAAATTATATCTCAGGGTAGAAAAATATATATTTTTTGTATGGAGGTTACTTCTTATTGAAGTGTGTTAGATCTGGCCAGGCATGCTGGCTCACACCTATAATGTCAGCACTTTGGGAGGCCGAGGTGGGAGGATCACTTGAACTCAAGAGTTGGAGACCAGCCTGGGCAACATAGTGAGATGCTGTCTCTAAAACAAAAATTTTTATAATTAGCCAGGCATGGTGGCACACGCATGTAGTTCCAGCAGCTAGGGAGGCTGAGGTGGGAGGATCACTTTAACCTGGGGATCAAGGCTGCAGTGAACCAGATTGTGCCAGTGCACTTTAGCCTGGGTGATAGAGTAAGACCCTCTCTAAAAATATATATATTTTTAAAAGTGTGTTAGATCTGCATATTATAAAATGACATGAATTAAGATTCTTCCTCCGTCATTTATTTCTGTTAAAAAAATTCACTGCTTGCAAACATGTACATATATATAAACCACTGCACACTAATTATACTGTATGGTGTCACAAGGGTGTTTTTTTTTTTTACTTGTAATGTTTTGCCTAACTTTAGAGAAAGCTTGAAAAGTTAATTAAAATCAACTTATGTCTCAACATTTTGTTGCAGTAGAGGAATTTGGAAGAAGGGAAAAGAGAATAGCAATGAATTGATTGGATAAGAGGCAGACACATGTTTTTAAAAAAGGATCAGAGCTTGCCCAGTTTCTATTTAAAGTATTGTAAGGACCTAATAGCTAGCTATAGTGATACATTTAAGATTAAAATGAGCAGATTTGGCGGTACAGGGGAGATGATGGCTAGCTGGGGATATTAGAAACAGAGCTATAAAAATTCAACACAACCTGGAAAAATGCAAATGAATACAACCAACAGTGGGGTGCAGGGTTGGTTGCGGGGGACAGGTGGATTATCTTAGGTGATATGCTGTGGAAGGCATGGAGTTTGGCTGCAGGGCTGGGTGGTCACCTAGTAAGAGGAATGCTTTGGCTCCTTCCCTTGTCTCTTGGAAATCAGAAGAGACACTGGGCCTTTTCTCCTTTACTCCAAGAAGAAATGCTCTTTTTTCATATATCTTTATTGAATACCTATTATGGTCCATGTGTTAAGAGATGGGGAAGCAAAGAGATACAACTCATCCACCCTACCCTGGAGAAGCTTATTGCAAATACCGTCAAATGCAGTTTGAAGGAAATAGTATGAGATTTGAATTAAGGACACTAAGATTTTATTCATGGATTAAAATCCGTATTCTGTTTCTTAATGATTTTGTGATCTTGCACAGGTCCATTAACCTCTGAGCATTAGTTATCTGTGAAATGGGAGTAATAATTGAGTCTGCCTCATGGGAACACTGTGATGACTAAATGTGAAGGTTTATGATAATGCTCTGAAAATAATCAAAAGTGCTAAAATGATATGGTTTTTAATTATGAGGTATTTTTAAATCCAAGCTTGATAGTAGAGTCAGATTATATACAAAGGGATCAGAGAAATAGATAAGTATGGGAGGAATGATAAATATAGGAAGAACATTATATACATCACAGATGAGTTCAGGTGCATGGGGGTCCTGGACTTACAAGCGGGTGTGCTTAGTTTAATGCTCTCCTATCACCACCTTGAAAGTTTTAATATTTTTTAAACAAAAGGACTCACTTTTTTAATACTAGGCCTCACAAATTATGTAGTTAGTTCTGGTTGTAGACATATTGCGTGTATAAATACTTAGATTAGTTACATGCCCACAATATTAATCATTAAGTTATTTGTGTATACATTTAACAGTTACCCATCTATTTATCTATCCCTATAGAGACATATTCTCCCATGTAGGATGTGAGGCACTTGAGGAGTGAAACTTGCTTGAATGGATCTAGGGCCCAGGAGAGAAGGCGAACCTGAAAAACAGTTGTTCGGTCTAATAGTTATCACTAGTTGGAAGTCTTGTACGTTCCAAGGTCAAGCGCTGTGATGTGATACATTACACACACACACATATAATATTTATTTATATCATGGAATAAATGTGTAAATATTACTATATTACTAATGTATCTTAATTTTCTTTTTTACAAAGATCCTATAATATCAGTAGGTCTAGAATTAGGTCAAGAATCTGCATTTTTAAAAAGGCATTCCAGCGGCTTCTAAGGCAGGTGGTTTCTAGACAAACTTTCCAAATACTGAGTGAAAAGTTTATTCATGTTGTGTTTCCATTATTTATGTGTAATTTGGAGAACTGGGTGATCTTTTCTCCAGGAGCCCCTAGCAACAGATCCAGAGAAAGAATGTCATAGCTAGCATTTCTTTGTGTTATTTGGGACCAATTTCAAAGTTACTGCAAGATGTTTGCTTTGCCAAGAGATATCCCATATCCAGTCCAGGCCCTATTGGATGCCAAATAACTATTAGTGTACAGAAGCCCCCACTTTTCCATGGGGGAAATGATCTAAGACCCCCAGTAGTTGCCTTTAACTGTGGATAGCACCAAACCCTATATATACTATGTTTTTTCCATACATACATGCGTATATACATAGTTATGATAAGGTTTAATTTGTAAATTAGTCACAGTAAGAGATTAATGACAATAACTAATAATAAAATGGAAAATTATGACAGCATGCTGTAATACAAACAATGTGAATGTATTATAGTCTCCCTCTCAAAATATTTTGTTGTACTGTACTCACTTATTTTTGGACCATGGTTGAACAAGGGTAACTGAAACTGCAGAAAGCAAAGTCGTGGAGAAGGGGGAACTACTGTACATAAAGAAATAGTGGATAATAACAATGAGAAGATAGATTGGGGCCTTTAATTCTGGATAAAGGATCTGAGACTCTTCTCAGAAGGCAATAGGGAACCACTGGTCATACAGAATTAAATAAAGGAGAAGGAAACAAAAGGTAAGGAGATCACTTAGAGGCTATTACAAAAAAAGTAGAGAAGAGGTAACAAAGGCCAAAAGTGGGCACTAAGAGTAAAGATTAAGAAAAAATATCTTTAATTATGGAAAATGTATGGAGATTCCTCATAAAACTAAAAATAGAACTCCCATATGATTCAGCAATCCCACTACTGGGTATATATCCCCAGAGCTTGAAATCAGCGTGTCTAAATGATATCTGCACTCTCATGTTCATTGCAGCAGTATTCACAATAGCCAAGATAAAGAGTCAACCTAAGTGTTCATCAGAGGATAAATGGATGAAGAGAATGTAGTAATGTGGTATATACACAATCGAATATTATTCAGCCTTAAACAAGAAAGAATTTCTGCCATTTGCAGCAGCATGGATAAACATGGAGGACATTGTGCTAAGTTCAGAAATAAGCCAGACACAGAAAGACTAAAACAGCATAGTTTCACTTATGTGGAATCCAAAACAATCAAATTTATAGAGGCAGAGAATAGAATAGTGGTTACCAGAAGTAGTGGGTAGGGGGAATGGAGAGATGTTGGTCAAATGGTAAAAAATTTTAGTTAGAAGGAATTGATGATAAGTATTTAAGAAAATGGATATATTAATTAGTTTGAGTTAATCATTCTATACTGTACAGATATAACATCACTGTGTACCATACAAATATATATATATGCAATTATAGTATGCCCAAAAATAATCTCTAAGTCTTCTTTTTAAATTTTACTTTCATAAGAATGGTATCCATCTGATTGAAGACCATCTTCTTTCTTCTCCATATGCAAATGTATTCCTTATAGAAAAATGCACTCCTGCCCCCACCCCAGCAACCATGCTTCAGGCCCCAAAGAAGTTTTCCTCCCTGTTACCTTGCAAAGGTAGCCTCTCTTGGGAATCGCTCACTAATTCACCCTGGAATACTCTTATGTTAGTTTCCCTTATGGTCCCTAACAGCCTTTATCTGTTATTCATCTCCCAGGTACTCACAGCTTGCTGAAAGGCTTTTTCTAATCAGCATTGTTTTGTCTTCTTTAAAATCCTTGATCATGGCCACTAGCATCCTTGACAGTCTCTGGACACTTGGTGAGAAAAGAATAAACTCAATGCACACCAGTGAGAGATCATGCCCTTTTCTTCTGACAACTTTGTGGCATCTTTGGCTGCCCTTTTTATGTGCTTGTCTTTGTGCTCCCCTACATCAATCTCATAAAACATCCTTTTTTTCATGCTTGACATATTGATATCATCCCACCGCAGATAAAACACAGAGCAGTGTAATATGGACAGGTGTTGGAATTATTTGCAATGCACAGAAATCTCTGCTGATGTTTAAGACTAGGACAATATTAAACACATTACTTTCCCTGACAGGCATTTTCATTACACCCATGCCATGCAGGTGCAGAATCTAGAAGTGATATCTTGTTTTCCCCAATAGGGTCTATGCAATACAATTTAAAAGTGTGTTTGGGTGTGTATGTGTGTGTGCATGTATGTGTCCTTCCCCCTTTATATCTTTATCTTTGCAACATCCACAGCCTCTTGTTTAAATCACATCTGAATTCACTTGGAGGAATGACACAAATTCCAAAGAACCTGTAGTTAAAATAGTTGCTATTTACCAGATCAGTATTCTTATGGTTGGTAGTGTCACATGGTCAGGTTTAGAGGGCAACTCTGAGATAGGACAAGATGAAAAATAGCCTAGGAAAGATCAAGAAAGACCAACATCAGAAAGCCACATAGTCCTCCAGAGTGAGTTACTATGTAGCTTAGTTTCATCAAAAAGAGAATCATGGCCAAGGTGGCTGTATTAGTCTGTTCTCATGCTGCTAAAAAAGACATATCCAAGACTGGGTAACTTATAAAGGAAAGAGGTCCAGTGGACTCACAGTTCCACATGGCTAGGGAGGCCTCACAATCATGGCGGAAAGCAAAAGAGAAGCAAAGGCACATCTTACATGGCGGCAGGCAAGAGAACTTGTGCAGGGGAACTCCCATTTATATAACCATCAGATCTCATGAGATTTATTCACTACCACGAGAACAGTATGAGGGAAACTGCCCCCATGATTCAGTTATCTCCACCTGGCCCCACCCTTCACATGTGGGTATTATTACAATTCAAGGTGAGATTTCGATGGGGAAACAGCCAAACCATATCAGTGGCAAATTCAAATGGCTACAGTAATGAAAACAACAATAACAGCAACAAAAGGTAATATTACTTGAGGATTTATCTTGTACCAGAAACTTTTACATGCTTTACATTCATGTTGAAAATTAAATGCTGGCCAGGTATGGTGGCTCACGCCTGTAATCCCAACACTTTGGGAGGCTGAGGCAGACAGATCACTTGAGGTCAGGAGTTCAAGACCAGCCTGGGCAACATGGTGAAACCTCATCTCTACTAAAAATACAAAAATTATCCAGGCGTGGTGGCAGGTGACTATAATCCCAGCTATTCGGGAGGCTGAGGCAGGAGAATCACTTGAACCCAGGAGGCAGAGGTTGCAGTGAGCAGAGATCACGCCACTGCACTCCAGCCTGGGTGACAGAGCCAGACTCCATCTCAGAAAAAAAAAAATTAAATGCTCAAAACAACCCTATCAGGTAAATCACTGTAATTAGCACCTATTTATCAGATGAGAAAAACAAGACTCATAAAAGTCATGTAACGTGTATAAGGTAACACAGCCAGTGATTCAAGCCCAGGTCTATCTGACTACAAAACTTGGGCTCTTAGCTTTTTGGGATTCTATACTCATGGAGAGGTAAAGCTCAGATCCTAGAAGATCAGCTGGAGAAGTTAGTGTATGAAGTAGGCAAGCCAGATCTGAGGCCAAGCTAAGGGCAGAAAACAGGAGTCCTGGGCCACTCAGCATGCATGCTGGCTCAAAGGAGTGTGTTTCTGAGCCTAGAATCTTCACTGTCTCCTGCTCCTGCTAAATGTTAGAGACCTCTAAAATAAATAATTGCAGTAGCTTTGTGGCGTGTTTTAATTGGCTACCCTCTGGGTTCCATTAGTAGGTTTACTTACTCTACCCTGGACCTAAAGCTGCAGTGAGGGTTGTTACCTCCAGCGAGGAGAGTATTTATCATGCCCTCTCCAGAGGTAACTGCAATTTTGCTTAAGTGTACTAATGGCATCTGCTCTCAGCTCTGTGTTTTTCCTCTCTGGGTCTTCTGATAAGGTCATTAGGAAGTGTGAGGCAGACAACCTGAGGGCTAAAGTCTCATTCAGCTCCATCAGTCAGATTCTGCTGGGACTGCACAACCCAAGGATCCTGTTACAGCATCTGCCTGGAAGATTCTTAAGAAGGAACTTGCAGTTCATTCATTACATATGTTCTATGCTGAGGCATAACAGTGGAGGCTGTTTTACAGTGTATCATGCCAACAGTACATCTGCTGCTGGCAATTATGCTACTAACATACAGGACCTTAAGAACTCTTCCTTCCCATAGTTTCACTGAGAAAAACAAAATCCCAGAAGAATATTAATTGACATTAATATGACACAATTAACCATTTATTCAATTGGCCTTTCCACCTAGAAGTTTAAGCATTCATCTTTCCTGTATTTCAGATGAACAAAATGAGATAATGCATTCATATACTGATTCAGCAAACATTTATTATGACTTCCCATGTACTGGGTACTATATAGATATGCGAGATTAAAACAAAGAAATACAATGTAAAAATTCAGATTCTTTTAAGGATTCCACCGTCTACTAGGGGAAACAGATGCAATGATGTCATCTATAATATAATTTTCTGTGTTGTGATAGAATCATACATAGGACAGCATCCAAATACAGCAGATAAGCAACTGGCTCAGCTAGATTTGGGAGGAGGTCAAGGCTTCATGGGGGATTCAATACCTGAGCAGGGTATTAACTAAGAGTGTAACCTATATAAAAGGAATCTTTTTTTTGAGCATTTACTATGTGTTGAACTGGATGCAGAGTGCTTTATGTGCGTTGTCATAATCCTATGCGTAAAACAATCCAGTGAAATCTGTACTATAGCCACATGTCTCATGATGATGGGGATACATTCTAAGAAATGTGTCCTTAAGTGATTTTGTAGTTATGCAAAATCATAGTGTGTACTCACACAAATCTAGACGATATAGCCTGTTGCTATATGGTACAGCCTATTGTTCCTAGGCTATAAACTCATACAGCATGTTACTGTACTGAATATTGGAGGCATTTGTAACACAATGGTAAGTTTTTTGTGTGTCTGGATATATCTAAACATAGAAAAGGGATAGCAAAAACATGGTATTGTAATCCTATGGGACCATGATCATATATGCAGTTTATCATTGATGGAAATGTCATTATGTAGTACATGGCTATATTATTATCATATTATAAAATTTCCAAGTGACAAAAAAAATCTGAACCCCTGCTCTCAGGCTCCAGATCCCAGCTTTTAGCAGATATGCCACACTATCATTAACTACGGTGTTTCGCTTAGGAACATCACCAAACAAAGCTACTTGTTCTTCAAGGACCCAGTAATCATCCTTATCCTTGCACAATTATCCTGGCTCTATCGTTTGATGATTTTCTTTCTGCAACTAATGATTTGGGTAGAAAGAAAACCTGCCGATAGTCATCTTTGATATTGACTGGTCAGTCCCAAGATCTAGGCATTGAAGTTTCTAAGAGTCTCTCTCCAGTCCTCTATATTGTTCTCTGCATACTCCTCCAATGTGGTACTGTACTATGCAGATAAGCACATGGATGTGACCTGATCCTCCTCAATCCTATGCTCCCTGACATCTAAAATGGGCCCAGAAGCAAAACACTTTGCCTGCCGATTTGTGCTTTTCAGAAGATGAGCATTTTCTTTTACATTCTGGACACACACATAAAAAAACTTTTCTATCATTAACCTGCCACAGCCTTATGGAAATTCTGAGAAGTCCAGTTCAGCCTCATAACGCGTGAACGTTATTTATCTTGAATGCTGCAAATTTGGCATATTGGTGGGGGGTGACAAGGTTAGGTAGATTTATTAGCATCCTGTCAGGAAATTTCCCATGAGCGGTAGAGGTTTGTCAGAAAATTCAGTGTAATTGATAGGAGCAAGTTGGACTAATTCTTAGTGCTAGATCTGTACTGGCTCTGTTCACACCTTTCCTTTGCAGACAACAAGATGTGCTGAGGAGAGCTCATTAAGAAGACCTTCCTGCAAACCCATTCTTTGCACCAGGTTTCTTTTTCCTTCCTTTCTTTTATATAATTATTTCAGTTACTGGAGAAGATATAAGCGTATATTGGAGGCATTACTGAATAGGCAATGATTTCAACTCATTTGTATGTATCTTTTAAGTCTCCAAGGGAACACTTAAACTCTAGGGAATAAGGATTAACAAGAAGCCGATATCTGTTCAGTGTTTCGCTCTATTTTCACTAAAGGATTAGAGGTTTCAACTGTCGAGTCTAAAAGCCATCAAGGCAGGATATAACAGTGGAAGGAGGTTAGCTTTTGAATTAGGATTCTTGGGTCCCAGTCTCAAGTCTCCAGCCTGCGAGTTCTTTGGCCCTGGGACAGTTATTTAAACTTGCTGAGCTTTGGTTTCCTCCTTTGAAAGGTGAGGTTAATGATGCCCATCTCACAGGGTTCCTAATAAATATTAAATGAAATGAAAAATGTCACAGCTACTTGACCTAAGCATCTTTCAATCTCTAGTTCCAGCACTGCTGCCCCTGAACAGCCTTCCTTGATGTGGCCAAGTAATAACAGCCACCATTTATTGTGACTTTATGATGTTGCCACACTCTATGCACCATGCTTTGCATACTTCATGTCATTGACTCCTCAGAATCCAGAGAGACAGGGAGAGACCATGGGAAGAGAAAGGGAGAGACCATGGGAAGAGAAGGAGAGAGAGAAGAGAGGAGTAGGGAGAGAGAGAGAAGACAGAGGAAAGGAAAAAGAAGAGAGAGAAAAAAGCGAGATGAGAGAGAAGAAAGAATGAATGAGTTCTCATGTAATTATGGTCAAGATATTCATCTTTCCTAAGCCTCAGTTTCCTTATCAGTAAAACAGTAAATTATCACGTCTTAACTATTTTGATGACTAAACGAGGTGATTTCTGTTACATGCAACCCACAGTGCCTGGAACATAATAAATCCCTAATAAATAGAATAAAATATTGTTGTTTCTGATGATAAGTTTCATTTTTGTTGCAAGCACTCCTGGCACACATTGCATTATAGATTCCATCCACTGATTTTCCGTTGTTTATTTCAATTTCTTCCTCCTCTACTAGTCTGCAAGGAGGCCAGAGTCCTTTTTAAAAAATAATCACTGCGATACTGTTCATCACACAGAAACACACATAAATTGTTTTTAAAGGAAGAAAAAAGGGAAAGAGGAAGGAGTACAGGCGCGTGTTTGGTAAGGTGTCAAGGGTCATAGGTCCTTAGATTCTACTCAGGTTTTTCTTCATAAAGATGCCATTTCTATTGGAAAGTGATGGCTCTGCCTCTGAAAACATTTCACAAAAACCAGAAGAGGAAAACAAACCAAAAAGAAATATTGCTGGAACACTATAGTGTGGGCACTTCAATGTAGTTTTCCTATTCCTTATATTTTTCCATAGTTGGAATTGACACTGTAAGGGACACTTTTCACAAAGTAGCATATTCCCATGGCTGGAACAAAATAACCAACTTTGCAAAGGGAGTTGAATTACTTCCATTCCTTGTTAGGCTAAAAGCCATTTGGCCTAGCCAGGGATAATTTTGGCCTGGAAAGCTCAGATTTCTAATCTAGCCTGACTGACCTATTCCCAGTTCCAAGATTTTCCACATACTTTCTTCCCTCACTCATGGAGCGATTACATGGAGTTAAATACAATACCCTTAGTGGAATTGTTTGGTACAAATTGTGGTGGCATTGACTCTGTCCGAGGTTCTGCTTACATTCTGTATGCCTGGATGCTAGCCGATCCTCTCCATCCAGTGGAATCCAGCCTTGTCTTTATCTAGCATAAACCTCACCCTTCCCTTGTGATCTCCAAACATGTGAACAGCCTTTTTTTAACACACACACACACTTCTCTCTCTTCTCACATCATGGCCTTCTTTAAATGTCAGGTGTTTTGAAAGAAGTTAGAGGCCTTTAGAAAGTGCAAGATACAAGTTAACTCTGTTTAAAGTTTAATGGCAAAAATCAGAATAAAGCAAAACTGGATCAGGTTTACAGATGATGAGTTTTGTTTTCCCTGCAACAAGGTTAAAAACTTTTTGAGACAACATTTTAAAATTGAATAGTGTAGATAAAAATGAGCTGTCCATGAAAATTATTAGCTACTCTTGGCAAATCAGAAGACATTGCAATACTAGACTTGCATTCCCATGTAGCAAAAAATTTGCTAGTGATTATTAGTGATTGTTTTGGACATTCTTTGGGTATTTACAGTCCCCACCATTGCCTATCATCCCACTAACACCAAAGCCAACTGCCAGTTCTAGTAATAACAACCAAATATGAAAATGCTTGAGCACCAGAATTTGTAAACCCAGCCCATGAATTTGCATTACCTGCTTGACCTCTGGGGTCGTTGGTTTTGCAAACCATACTGTAAAGGAAAGAAAAAGGAAAAACCAAGTTAGATGTGTTACATAATACTATTTCATTATATTATCTCTTTTTTCTCCCTTCTACACTTTTCATTTACCACCACTCCCCACCCCCTGCTACCTAAATATCTTTATCCCAATGGAAGATGCGTTACCAAAGATTCACAGTTTATGGACCAGAAGAAAAATGTGGCTTCTAAGTAAGTCCTGCAGTCTTATTTCTCACTTCTGTCATTGACAGCCACTAAATCAAGAAGAGGTTAAGTGAAAATTAGCAAAATATGCATTGCCATACTAACAGGCAGTAATAGAACAATCTGTTCATGTCCCCACTTCACAAGTCCACTTTCCCAAAACTAATCAAACTCTTCCATCTGTGGAACTTGCCACAGCAGGTCTTTTTCAGCAAAGAAAGAGCAACAAGTTTCCCTGCACATATTTTCCCTGGCAGAAATTTATCACCTTATTTTTCTACATTTCAAAAATAAATATTTTCCCCTTATACCTTTCCCAATCTTATTTTAAAATGGAAACAGCCAAAAGCTAGGTAGTTGTCTTATTCTCTTTTATTTTCATTGAAATCATTTCCTAGACTGTATACATACACATTATGTATGTAATTTATGAAGTTTTGTTTATATGAGAAAGCTTCTTTTATTTTTTAACATGCATTTATGTTGCTTTTTGGGCTAATGTCCTTAACCTTTTCAAAACCCAGGAGTTTTTCCACCTCTATTCTTCTGCATCACAAGACCTTACATTGTGTGTGTTTACTGGCCTTCATAAAAAAATTAAAAAAAAAACACTCTAAATTCACATTTCACCACTTGTTATCTATCACCCTCTCTCATAGCTTGTGATGTTTACAAATGCTTCTGAAGTATTCAGTCCCTAGAGTGAGCTTTCTTTGACTGGTGGGCACCAGTACGATCATAGTTCACAGCAGCCTTGAACTCCTGGGCTCAAGTGATCATTTTGCCTTAGCTTCCAAGTAGCTCAGACTACAGGCGTGAACCGCCATGTTCAGTTGAAGTCCACATATGATAACATTTCTGCCTCCACTTAAAACCCTCCAGACAGCCCTTCAATGACCTCGGCTTACAATACAAATGTGTTATGATTTTCCAGGCCCTTCTTCATCTGCTCTCCCTTCCTTTTGAGCATTATCCCATTTCATGCCCCCACACAGATTCTAGCCATACCCCATGACTTACAATTTCCCACAAAGAATGCACTGTGGCTCCACTCCAGGACTTTGCCCATGCTGGGTCCCCTTCCTGAAATGCCTTCTAGCTGTTCTCTCTTCCCTGTTTGCTGCCATTTCCGTGGACAGACTATACTTGTCTTTCTGTTCTAATTGCTCTGAAATATACCTCTGGCCCCCCAGCTTTCCTGCTCCCCCATCCCCTGTAGTCCTTCTAGTTTTCCTGTGTCCCCATGGGACTTCTTTATCCTTTTTGAAGCACCTATCACACTGAGCCATAACTGCATACCTTTCTGGATGTCTCTTTCAGTGGACCATAGTTGCACACTCTCTTCAGGAAGTGCAACTTGTTTGTCAGTGAGTCGCCAATGCCTTATACTGTAACCAAAATGCAGATTCAGTCACTTGCCACCTGCCGAGTCCAATTCACAAGAGCAAGTTCTAGTATAAAGAAAGTGACTTTTTATTCCAAAGCTAGCTTAAGGGAAGAAGTATAGGCTTCCTGCCTTAAGAGTACTGCTTACTTTTGGAGCAGAAAGCAGGCACTTTTAAAAGGCATCTTGGCATGAATGGCTCACAGGGGAGGGAAATGCAGGTGGGGTCATGTAACTCACTGCAGTGCCTAATCTACTGCGTGGTTGAGCTGGTGACAGCTGGTGCCTTCATGGGCAGAACTAGGTTGTAAACGTGGCCAAAACTCTCCTGGTGGGAGACAGTTTTGTAGCAGGCACTTCAGGTTGTACATTGACTGTTGTCTCTCGAGGTGATCTCCTGGTGAGAGGGAGTTCTGCTCTGGAGCTTCTAAGCACATAGTTAGATGAACTTGCCCTGTAGGGAGTGTCTGGAAAAAGGAAGGTAAAAGGTTATAATTGCATGTCTAAAGAGCTAAGTAGGAAGTAGGGAAAAAAGAAAAGAGAAAAAATACATTATCTCTTATAAAAATGGGGGTACTCATTACAAAACTGTGTCTGGCACATGAATGTTCAGTGATGTTGACTGACCAAGGAGAGTTACAAAACAAAAACTTGGAAGTGGGAGGGGCATAGCAATCAGGGTCCCAAAGGAAAGAAGGCATACACAAAATGGTTACATGAAGAGAAACTAATGAAGGGATTTATTTCCCAGGTAAGAAAATTAGCAAGTGCTGGTGAAACACTTAGGGATGAGAAAATGTGAAAAGTCTCAATTGTCCCTAGGTTTGAATGGCCACAGAAGACAATTGGATTCCATGAACATGGCTGGTGTTGCAACCTTGTGAGAGAGGCAACTCGGTTATCACTTTGGTCCTAAATAAAATAACCCAGCTACTGGCACATTCATAACACATCAGGGAGGGTTCTGGAAGGAAGAATGAATAAATGCCCAATGTTTCTCTTATTGAGCTCTCCACTGCCAAAATATACAAGAAGCCAGAGGAAAAAGACAGTCTTATGATGTGATCTATACAGCTTATAGCAGTCAGCCTTTCTAGTGGGCAGAGAAGGAAAGGAAGTGAATCTGGGATGAAAGTGAGAATATCTAACCCAGTGTACCTGCCTAGCAGCAGAGGGGAATCTTTGACTATAAAAATGTTTCGTTGTTAAATTTTGAAATAATAAATGACTATAAGCTTTTCATAAAGTATATACCTGTATTATTAATGTTCTTATGCTAACATATCTGGTTATTAAAAAATGGTGCTTATGCACTAATAACCAATCAGTATACAGAGAGCTGTCAAGTCACTCATCTGTAAGTGCTACCAGCTGGGGTTAATAAGCAGAACTGTGACATGTGAATATTTCCTTCATGCAAACATAAACAGAAATTTGTTTTATTTTAAAAGATAGAGGAATTCTAAATATATAGTAAAAATAGTAAGTGTGTATTCCAGAAAATCTTAGCAAAAAGTCAGAACTAAGTAAATGAATAATAAATGAGTGAATGAGGTAATATAATTGGACTACAGAGACTAGGCAATGTGAAGGAGAGAAATATGATGTAGGCTTTGGGAACATGAAAGGTAGAGTTTGCTTACACTGAAAGAAAAGATAGAGAAAATGTGAACAATGTGACAAGGATGGATGTTATTAAATTTTCATCCTAAATTGTAAGATTCTTGTCCTCAGAGAAGGAAAGAGGGAGGAAAACTAGTATTTATTGAGTCTCTATGATATGCTGAGAGCTTTTACAAACCTTTGCTTGTTTAATTCTCACAAGTCACTATGAGTATTATTATCTCATTTTTACAGTAAGGAAGCCAAGACACAAAGCAGTTAAAGAACTCACTGGTTAGTGGTAAAAACCAGGAAATAATCCCAGATTCATCTCTCAGAAGCCCATTCCCTGTTTGCATACCATGCAACATTCAAGAATCTAGTGAAGGAAATAACACACCTATCAATAATTATATATCCAAGACAGAATGTAAAAATACTATGCCAGAAGTAGACAGTGCCTTGGTAACACACAGGACAGAGAAACTCTAATCAGGAATTCTGATCCAATTTCATGCAGTGGTGGCATTTAAATAAGTCTTTGAGAGATTTTTGAAATTTGAATATCTGATAGACAACATGACTTAAAAGAAAGAATCATTTTATTTATTTTTGACACCTTGGTACTTGACACAATGTCCATCAAATAGTAAGTTTCAGTAACTCAATCAAAAATAAAAATGGGAAAAATGACATCAGGTGTGTTCAGGGAAATGGTGATTTGTTAAAGGTCTGGTAGTGAGTATGAGGGATGGGTTAGAGTGAAGGCTACAGCTGACATGATAGGACAGGGCTAGTTTGTAGAGGATTTTGAATACTATTATGCAGAGTTAGAACTTTCCATAGGTGTGAAATAAGTAGCCACTGAAGGATTTTGTGCAAAGCAGTGAAATTATGTGGGCTGCACATTAGGAAGATTTCTCCGGGGAAATGTAGCAGGCCCTATTCGAGAACAGTGTTGGCAGCTAAGAACTGCATTAGTATGCCATTGTATTCATTCAAAGAGGTACTAGGGAATGAACAGCACTCTGAGAATGGGAAACAGGGGCCGAGCTGAATGATGCTGTGGAGATAGTCATTTCTCTAGTTTAGATAGGGAGAGGGAAGGGCGTCTTTCAAGAAATGACTTCAGAATTTTGAGCCTGAATAAATGGAAAAATTATGATGTCATTAACTACAGTATACAACGTACAATAAGTAGGGGTAAAATGAGGAGTGAAAAGTAATAAGGAAAATGATGAGTTTGGATCATCTGTAGAAAGAGGTCCAGTAGGTGGTTATGGTTCGGATTATTGGATGACATCACAGATATAGATCTGGGGTTCCTCCACTTAGAGGAAGTAGCTGAATCCATGGGAGGATTCACAGGTGGTGAACAATACCATTGAGGATAGAGCTCAGACCTGGGAGAGCACATTTTTAAGTGACGGGTGATAGGAGAAAAACTAATGGGATATTTGAAAATGAGAAATTGTCAGGTTCATTGCACTATTACCCCCATTTTTCTCTCTTTTATTCTCTCTTTTCTTTTTGTTTCTTTTCTTTTCTTTTTTTTTTCAGGGTCTTGCTCTGTCACCCAGGCTAGAATGCAGTGGCATGATCATGGCTCACTGCAGCCTTGATCTCCTGAGCTCAAGCAATTCTCTCACTTGAGCTTCACAAGTAGCTGGGACTGCAGGCACACCATGCCCAGCCAATTTTTTATTTTTTGTAGAAATAAGGTCTTCCTATCTTCCCCAGGTTACATTTTTCTCTTTCTGATAGTACCTTTATCTAGAACACTAAGTAGCTAATCCTTTCTACAAAATTAAAGATAGTTACTTTAGTTGACAGTTAAATATCCTATTGTACTTAAAGTTCTTGTACATTCCGACGGGTTAATCAGATGCCTCCAATTCCACCTCTTTCAAGGGTGGTGTATCTGAATGTCAAGGTGATTGGCATAACACTAATGCATAATAACCAGAAATCGAGTTTATCTTCCAAGATCTTAATAGAGGATCCTCCTCAAGAGAAAACCTTTCAGACATATCAGCCTTACAACTGGAATCTATTTACTTTTCATTTGTTTTTCACCCTATTTATGTCATTTTCCTTTTTAATTGCCAGGGATATTTATATGGAAAAGAGTTTTCCTCTTCTTATTTCTGTCAGATCTTGTAGTTGACATCTTGTTTCATTCTGTCATGCCAATGATTAAAGCTCAGTAAAATGTCCATTTTGCATATATGGCTTTCTAAAGATCCATTTGGAGGAGATCAGATGTTAAAAGAGAGGATGTTTGTTGGGGGGGTGGTGGTGGGAGGTGGGTAGGGATAGTACTTTAGAAACTGTTTCAGATCTAAGAGGGAATTAACAGGATTTCAGAGGGTGCGAGAAAAGTGGGATAATGTTAAGTATTACATTGAAAGCAGCGAATGAGACCTTTCCAAAGTGATGACAAATACAACAGAGGAGTGAGGGCTGGGGCAGTCAGCAACACAATTTTTCCACTCACTTGTGGAGCTAGAACATACCTTCCCTCTGTTTTGTAAAGATGAGCCTCCTCCCTTTCTTAGAACATTTGGAGAACTTCATAACTTTCAATATAACATTCAAGACATACTTCAAGAGTTGCCCAGCCACATCCATTAGTCTAGGTGGCACCTATGTGGTTCAGTCACATCTGTATGAAGACTTGAAGACTCCCAAGGAACTTACATCAGAAGGAGAGAAAATGGGGTTCTTCATGGAAACTTGCCATGGATGAAGGTACAACATGACCCATTGACTAGACCAAGTAGCGTGACCTGGATGTTGAGGGAAGGAGGTGGTTCCAGGTCAAGTTTGAAACTGGTTCTGAACATTCCTAGATCTGTTCTCCTGCCTTGTCTGTGTGTTTTGGGGAAGAGATTGTTTGCAAAAGAAAGAATCCTGTCACTTGTGTCTTTACTGTTCTTCTGTGGGAAAGGGCTCTGAAAGGATTGCGTTTTGACAGGAGGAAGGTGTTGAACCACTACTCGTAGATAGACAGGGAACCCTGTGCGGCCATAGTTTAGGTATGGTTGCCAGTTCTGTGGGGAATACAGTAAAAGCTTTCAAGGACAATGACATACGTGGCCTCCAGAGCATGAGGCTAGAAATCTGACATATGCGAGAAGGTCCTCTCTCACCCAAAAACTTTTACAGAAAATAACTAGGGAGGGACATCCTAGAGGGCAAAATTAGACTTCTTGCTAACCAAGTGTATTAGTTTCTTCTTATATTGCTACTCTTATTCTTCTTATACTACCTGAAACAGGGTAATTTATGAAGAAAAGAGGTTTAATTGACTCACAGTTCCACATGTCTGGGGAGACCTCAGGAAACTTACAATCATGATGGAAGGTGAAGGAGAAGCAAGCACATTTTCACAAGGCGGCAGGAAAAGAAAGAGCGAGGCAGGAGCTGCCAAACACTTTTAAAGCCATCAGCTCTTGTGATGAACTCACTCACTATCATGAGAACAGCATGGGGGAAACCACCCCCACAATCTAATCACCTCCCACCAGATCCCTCCAACATGTGGAAATTACAATTTGAGATGAGATTTGGGTGGGAACACAGAGCCAAACGATATCATCAAGCAAGTGGGTGCCCAAAACATTGAGGCAAATTGTGGAGTTTCTTTAAGTAGAATACATTTGTAAGTTCATAGTTTCAGCTTATGAACTAGCTCTTATTTGATCAGCATGAGAGCATCTAAAAGAGAAATAATAAAACAAATGGATCCATCTCTCATTATTTCCATTCCATGGTCTAACTTATTTTTTTCTTGACTACCCTTCTTCCTATAAGAAGAAGAAGAGAAAGGTCTGAGAAAAATATGTGCCCCCATAACACTCTGGGGCAACCTGAAGGCCATCTTCCAAAAGTCCCCTCTGCCTTTCTCAGAGAAGAGATTGTTAGGCTGATCCATGCTTCTGTAACACACAGTCCACAAGAATGCATGGCATGCAGTGACAAACCAAGAATATTCTGATAATCTCAGTTGAATCTAAGCATTCTATGGCAGAAACTCGCTTTTAGTAATCTGCTATCTGTTAAAGAAAGAACAATTTGGTCTCAAGCAGTGGGGAAGATCAGCTCATTTACAAGACTGTCACTTAATGAAGCTCCTTGGTGACTTTTCTGTGATGAATTTAGACATTGAAAAGAAATATTTCACCTCTTCACTCTGCTCCATAGGCTCAAGCAGAAAAAATGGGAGACATTGTATTTCTAGTTTCTTTCATCCAAAGCTTTGCTCACTTATGTTGACATTGTGCTGAACAGCTGACGAACATGCGGGCAGGCCAAGGAGGATGCTGTCTTACTGTTGGACTCTTCTCTGGGCAAAGTTCATTATTGTGCTGGCCTCAGACCACTTTAGCTGCCATCAGTTGAGAGGAAAAGAAAGAACTGCATTAAAAAGAATGTCTTGCATTACAGGCTTTAGAGGGGAAACTAGTGAAAAAACTGCTGATGCTTTGGGAGGCAATTTCTTCCCTCCCTGCCTGCCTCCCTCCCTCCCTCCCTTCCTTCTTTCCTTCTTTCCTTCTTTCCTTCCTTTCTCCCTTTCTCCCTTCCTCCCTCCAACTCTTCCTCCCTCCCTTCCTTTCTTCCCTCCTTTCTAGTAGATGTCTCTGATTCTACCTCTTTTTTCAATTGATTTATGTGCTTTTGCTTGGCAAGTTTGCGCTAACTCCCATAATTGCTTGGAAGGGCGGTGTTGATTTAAGCCTTGTTTCATTGAAGGAGAATAGCATTCCTTCTTTCATAACAGACCAATTAAAGACGACACAATGACTTCTTCTTTCTGTAAGCTTTCCTTGATTCCCTGAGCCAATTTTGAAATTAAACTCTTCTTCAGTCCTCCTAAACTCATTGCACAGAAACAATCACAAACTCACACTGTCAGGAGTGGCCCAGGCCATCTGGTTCCACTGTTTGCAAGCCTCCATAGTGCCGTCATAGAGGCATTTCCACAGTATTCTAGAGACACTGTAAACCTTCTCCATAATAGGCCAGATTTTCCTAGCAGGGACTAATACTAGCTGATGATAGCTAATAGGTACTGATTGCTTACCCTGCCTGGTGTTTTACAGATAGTGTTTAAATGGCAGTATAGGGTTAAGAGTATGACAACCAGAGCCAGAGATATTGGGTTCCAATCCTACCATTTAATCCCTGTGTGACCTTGGGCAAGATGTTTTACCTTTCTAAACCACAGTTTTCTTCTTTGTAAAATGGGAAAAAATTTAGCTACTGCAAGTTGTTGCATTAAATGAGATAATTTAAAGTAGAATGTGAATCGTAATACCCAGAATGTTCTAAAAATTAATGTTAATTATCATCCTTATTATCCATTGCTTATCTCCAAATGCTTTAGTGTAATTTTCAACATGGTGCTACATAGCGAGGATTATGCCCTCTGAAATTGTCACACATCAAGACTGGTGGCTGAAGGCCAGCAAAATGGTAATTGTGATCATTATCTAGCACATTTTCTTCTCTAGAAGATGGATTTTAAGTCTCTGCTCATAAGCTGATTGGTAGTGCTGCCTTAGATTGGTATCTTCTGTTTTGGGGAAAGAAGGTGATTTTGCCAGATTTCCTCAGTTTTGATCATTGGGAATATACAATAATGGAAATTTGCCATGGGAGGCTGGGAACCCATAACTAAACAGTCCATGATAATCCTATATCCAACTCTTGGAAAAGGGAAAAACAACACTTCATCTCAGGATTGCTTCAGGGTGAATACTGTGCCTACTACCCATATTAAATGCATTTCTTTATGTCCATCCCTCCTCTCTCTCTCTGTCTCTCTCCCTCTCTGTGTGTCTTTCTCTCTCTCTCTGTCTGTCTGTCTCTCTGTCTCTCTCTCTGTCTCTCTCTCTCTCTCTCTCACACACACACACACCCCCCAGAAGAGCATTTTGGCCACTTAAAGGAATGCTGTGAGGAATTACAGATTTTGACTGCGTAAAATATTGTGCGTTGTTCCAAGCAAAGGTAAAATTCTCAAACTGTTGAAATTGTTTTTATCAGCACTACTCCTAATCATAATTACTGTTGTCATTAGTCAGTGTTGGGTACCACTACCTTCTGTGATAACACTTAACACATTGTTAGCAATTACACAGAACTTCCCAATTCTGCCAGCTCCATGCTACATCATCAATACCATTTCCTGTAGTAGAGTGCCCCCTAGCACCTCCACGCTTCTCTCAGTTTAATTTGCTTTTTGAGCCCCCCAAAGAGAGACTACTAAATATCAAAGGCAGCTTTCACTCTTTAGGGACTTGGGCTTTCCAAGTGGTTAAGTGCCCAGCATTAATCTCCTGAGATTTGTTCATCTGACTTCACAGCAGCTGGAACAGGGACAGAGATCTTTTGGACAGCCTGTTCTGCCAGAAGCAGAGCAGGTGGCTTTCTCTCGGGTCACAATTGAATTTAAAAATCCCATTAATTTTGTCAAGTCAACTTAATTCTCTTAACCTGATAATTATCTTCCTTTGGAAAAAGAACAATAAAAGAGTAGGCAGACCTCTGTTAAGCAATGTTTAAAGTGTGTGTGTGTGTATGTGTGTCTGTGTGCACATGTGTGTGTGCATGCATACATGTGTGTGACAGAAAGAGACAGAAAGAAAGGCTGCCTGACTGATTATAGGTTTATAAGGTTCACTTCTTAGTTCATCTCTGAAAACAAGAGATTTTGGCTGCTGTCTTATTTGTCCTTAAATAATTTGGGTGATCCACCTGGGCATTAGGTCACAGCCTTGGGCCCTCTTTTTAAAGCACTTGCATGCCTGGGAAGAAGGTGGTAGGCTCTTACAGCAGCAAATAAGAGTGTATTGCTTAAACCTCTCTTTGAAGGCAGGGAGGGCGAGGGGGAGGTGTGAGATATTTTAAAAATAAGATGTGCTGCTAAATTCTCTGCCAACCTCCGTTCATGCTGAGTGGAGTGTAAGTAACAAGTATCAGATAGTTCCTCCAGATGTCAGCTATTTAAAGAGTCACATGCTAGAAGTTCTGTGGATAGCAATTGTCTTATTCCTGGTGGTGGTGGTGGTGGTGGTGGTGGTGGTGGTGGTGGTGGTGATGGTGGTGGTGGTGGTGGTGGTGGTGATGGTGGTGATGGTGGTGGTGGTGGTGGTAGTGATGGTGGTGGTGGTGGTGGTGGTGATGGTGGTGATGGTGGTGATGGTGGTGGTGGTGGTGGTAGTGATGGTGGTGGTGGTGGTGGTGATGGTGGTGGTGGTGGTGGTGGTGATGGTGGTGGTGGTGGTGGTGATGGTAATGATGGTGGTGGTGGTGGTGGTGGTGGTGACGATGGTATTAGGAGGTGGATGCTGCCTCACAGAAACTTTTATCAGCAAGAAAGTGTGGGAATGTGTTTGTGCATTTGAGAAGTAAGACAAATTAGACCAGAGGGAAAAAAATGACCTAATAACTCAGGAAGATCATGATATCAACCTTTGTACAAGTAACATTTGATTTTTAAATGTATAAAGCAAGAAGAATGTCCAGGAACTCTCAATTCCTGTAAAATTATTGTATTTTCCTTAAGAAATTAACTTATAGGCCGAGAAATTATACAATAAGGAAAATGATTCTTATTCAATTTTAAACTTTTCTCTACTGCTTTACCTAAAATAGACTGGAAAAAAAAAAGTTGTGACTGTTCTCTTTTGTTATCTCTTTGAATCCCAGTGGTAAAGGACTTCTTCCTACAAGACATAATGAATTGATCTGTTTAAGTTAGTAATCACTGTGAGGAAGTGGTAGGGTCAAGACTGATTAGAGTCTTCAGAATTTCCCCACCAGTTCAAATGATGTTTTCTTACACTCATGCTTAAAAGTTCTGCATAAGGGTCACAAAAATTGTTAAGCTTCATTTCTTCTCTTCTCTTCTTTATTTAATTTTTGGAGACAGAGTCTTGCTCTGTCACCCAGGCTGGGATGCAATGGTGTGATCTCAGCTCACTGTTACCTCCGCCTCCCAGGTTCAAGTGATTCTCGATTCTGGTGCCTCAGCCTCCCAAGCACCTGGGATTACAGGTGCGCACCACCACACCTGGCTAATTTTTTTGTTTTTGGTAGAGACCAGGTTTTACCATGTTTTCCAGGCTGGTCTCGAACTCCTGCCCTCAAGTTATCTGCCCATCTCGGCCTCCCAAAGTGTTGAGATTACAGGCATGAGCCACCACACCTGGCCCATTCCTTATATATTTTTAAAAATAACCTGTTCTTCTTCAGTTTCTACAAATTCTGGCTTTATTCTTTTGCTTAATTTGAATTTCAGCTGTGTTAATAACCAGAGGGACTCCAAAGGATGTAGTTTTATAATTTCTCTGAGGGTCAGTTCTTCCAGTTTTATATGGAAGAGAAATAAGATAGCTCCCAGCTCTTGGCTCATTGTTGGTGACAAACTCAAGTAACAAACACTGCCTTTCTAATGGGAGATATCATTATGCTCAATTCCTCCTAGTGTCTCTTCTAAAACAGATACTCAGATAAAACACTTATCTCTGGGAGAAACAGATAGGCAGAGAAAAGAAGGGTATGTGATTAAGTGAAGGTAGCATTTCTAGAACTGAAACTTTGTCTTTTCCTTCAACTTCCATGGCCCTTTTGAGTAATAGAACAAAGTAGAGATAGGTTTGGTTGTGTCAAACACAGTGGGATCAGATGTCCTTCAAACAGACTTTGAGAGACAGTGTGGTCATGGGTTTTATTTTTTTTCCTCACTTTTTCTTTTCTGGAATCTTCTGCAGGCATCCCAGGTTGAGACACTTGCAAAAAAAAGATAAGAGGCAGCTATACAGGGGAGAATCGCAACCTGTGTAGTCACCATGTGACCACTTGTAAAACAGTCCCAGCATCCCATCTTAGTTTGTCCCTTGGTAGGGCAAGGAAGGTTGTGAGCTTTTGTTCGTGATGTTAAATAAAGAACATTGTGTGTCAAAAGAAGTAGACTTCCTTATCTGCTGTTTACAGCTATGAAAGAGGAGGTGTTGGTCTTTCTTCTAAGCTCTATCTTCCAGCTTTTTTTTCCTACCTTCTGTTTCACATGATCTCATACAGAAAACTTCTGACTTTCCAATGTAGGGCTTGTTCTGTTGTCAGCATTTGTAGTCAGCATTTCTCTAGTGTTTTTCTAAAACCCTTATCTGCAGGGAACGTCAACGTGGTTGTAGCATCAATAGAATAAGGTTTTAGTTATATATATATGTATCTACATATATATAGTTATCTATATATATAGCTGTATATATAGTTATCTATATATAGCTATATATAGAGTTATATATATATAGCTATATATATGGTTATCTATATAGCTATATATATAGTTATCTATATATAGCTATATAGTTATCTATAGATAGCTATATATATAGTTTATATATATAGTTTTATACACACACACACACACACACACACACACACACACATATACACACACACTTAGCTTTTCTGTTTCAACTTTGAGTCATAATGTTGAATGAAAACTGAGTCCAAGATTGATATTCTGGGGTCATCTACATGGAGCACTGAACTATCTTCAGTGCATTACATGGGAAGGTTAGATATTGGTAAGAAAGTTAGGAAATCAATCTAATTTCTCCTATTCTGTCTCCCCCACCTTTCCTTTTACCGTCCATTGTGTGCAGAATTCAAGAGTGCCATTCACTCAGTTGTGCCAGAGCATAATTGCTGATAAAGTAGAGCTGATGAATTTGCACTATGGAATGATCCTGGTCATATGTTTTCCTGAAATTTTCTCAAGTTTTGCAAATTTATTTTCTATTTCATACTTGTCTAATATTTTTGATATGTACAAATATGTATCTACCTTATTACTTTAGTGAGATGGGACTCATGTTCTCTCATACACAAATACATATATCTTATGTATTTAAAACATATCCATATCTATAAATTATATTTTATAAGACTCACATATCCATATCTATAAATTCTATTTTATAAGACTCTAGCTAAAACTGAGTAGTGTTTTAAGAATTGTTAAAAAGGCAGACACGTCTTGGGATGCTAGCAGGTGGGAAGTATGATCTGTCCTTAATAAAACATGATTAATCTCACAAAAAAGGAAAAACTCTCCCATTTAAGGCCCAGAGAACTAGGCTAAACCAGAAAACAGAGAGGCTTGTGTTGGGGAGTACTTTTGACAGATCCCTCACCCCCATCCGCACAGCCACCCACAACATAGGTGTATATTGTCTCTGTATGATTTCGTATCTGGTGCTGTTCTGCACTTCTCAGTTTGGGGGCTGAATTCCTCAGCATCCTTGCCACATTACAGAAATAGAAAGCCCAATATCATAGTCACACCACCACCCCACTTGCCACCCACAATGTAACAGAAGAGCAGGCAGCCCTCAGTTTCCGAAAGGGTTGTATTCTCAATGTTACTTTATAAATTCTCAGAGCTCAGATTATATTTTCCAGAGAAATGGTATATTCTCTTTCCAGAACTCAAACACCTACTAACCCAGAATATTCCCAATGTCCTAGTCAAGAGATACTATAGTCAAGTACCTGGCCACATAGGAAATGCTTTCTAAAAGGGTATGTATTTGGAATTTTAGGTTAGGATACCAATGACATATTTTTCACCATTACAGATTTGATAACAAGATCTGGGCTACCCAAACACCTACTTGCTGTCTGCAAAGATCCTAGGCTAGTTAGTTCTTTATCCAGGTTCATGGCAAAGTTTGAGAGGAGATTCAAAGGTAAGAAAGGGGCTCCAGCTGGAAAAGGACATGGTGAGGTGCTGGACTTGATGTGCTGGGAAGGGGTGAGGAGGAGGGTGAGATATATGTGAGGGGCATAATGGGAGCAGTGGGAATTGGGAGACACAGGGAGAAGAAACGAAAGCTGAAGGAGTGGACTTTGAGGGTTAACAAAGAAGAGAAGCAGAACATAATTCAATTCAATTCAACATACTTTGTTGATCACCCAATCTGGTATGTGCCAGAAAAGTGAGCAAAGTTGAATGAGATGTGTTCTCCACAGGCGAGATCTCCTGTAAGGGAAGGAGAAAGGGACATATGCAGATTTGCATTCTTGGAGCAGATCTGTTCGGTTCCAGACTAGAGATGCAGAAAGGGCACAGAGAAGGAGAGATTTATCCTGACTTGAAGATGAGGGGACGTCTCATGGAAGAGGAGGCAGTTAAGCTAGACCTGAGGATGCTAAGTGCCTCACATAAGTAGGGAAAGAAAGCATAAGTCCAGTCTGGGAAAATGGTGAGTGAGATGAAATCCCACAGATAAGAAAGGTGCTGTGTGTGTGTGTGTGTGTGTGTGTGTGTGTGTGTGTGTGTGATGGGGTGGGGGCGGGGGGATGACAACATGCCTACAGAATACAGGGGGATGTGAAAGAACAATTTACCTTCCAGAATAAACTTCCTTCTTTAGCACTATGCACATATTATCTTGGCCTCTAATGAGACTGCAATCCTGCGGGCAAGTTGTGGTTCTCATGGGATAGAAGAAGTGAGGATGGGAGAGGGTACCGAGGAGGGGCTCTGGGACTTTGAGAATTTGGCAGTTTGGGGCTAGTGGGCAAGGAGATTTTTCCCACTTCTTGCTTCTCTAGATCAACTACTACCTGGCCTATTGTATGACTCTCAGATGCTAATGTGGTGGGAGTAAAGAAGGAAGCATGTCCTTGGAGCCCAGATTATATTTCAGGGTATCCAAGGCATCAGAGAAGGGAAACACAGGGGAAGGAAATTTTTAGAGGAAATGTGGAGGCTTGGAATGCTCCACATTTATACAATGTTTACACACTCAACATTGTATAAAACCAGTATGAAAGACAGGATTAGTCTGAATTTCATGAAACATTCTCTTGGGCCCCTCCTGCCCACAACTTCTTTTAAAAGGAAAAATGAAGTGCCCAATCCTCACATTTCTTCCCATGCAAGTGAACCCCTGAAGAATGGATGCTGAGGTTGGGGCTGCTCTCTGATCAGCAAATTCTGAGATACTAGAAAAAAAGAAGGAGGAAGAGGAAGAGAAGCATGAGGAAGAAAAAGAAGGATAAGAGGAAGAAAAAGAGGGAGAAGGAAGAAGAAAGGAGGAGGAGGAAGAAGGAAAAGGAGAAGAGGAAGGAGGAGGAGAAAGAGGAGGAGGAAGGAGGAAGGAGAAAGGAGGAGGAGAAGGAGGAGAATGAGGAAGGAGAAAGGAGGAGGAGGAAAGAGGATGAGGAAAGAGAAAGGAAGGAGAGAGGAGGAGGAGGAGGAAGAAGAAGAAGAATAACAAGAAGGAGAAGAAGAATCATTTTTCCAAATATTTGTCAAAAGCATAATGCTTCTATTAAAATGTTGAAGTGCATATTTATGTTTCAGGAATTTGGGGAGAGGACAAATGTGTACAAGGAGGCAGTCACTCCTGTAAGTGCTGCACACATACAGGGCCTTCAAAGCAAAGAGAGAGTTCTGCATTTCAGGGAAGGCAAATGGCTATGGACATTCACAGAAACCTGGAGAAAGTGGATGGCTCCTGGGTGGATAGCAACACTGATAGGTACAAAGCGAAGAAGGAGGTGGGTAGCTTTCGGACTCTACTTTATCATCTTTTAGGGCCTGTGTATCTGACTACTGCTGGGATTGAATCTGCTGGATGTCTACAGCTGGAGGTTAGGGGATTTCACACTTAAAGTATGGGTGTGTGCATGCATGCTGTCTGTGGCCTGTTTGTTTGACCTCAGTCTTAATGATGAACTACCAGGAAAATGGAATTTGAGGCACTCACTACCTCTTGGCCATTCCTCAAGTGAAAGGACACAAAGACTTTATATTAAGATTTATAGCAACTTCAAAGCTATAATTTTGGGTCTTGAACACATCCTTTAATGGAATTCTTTTGTTAACCACACATATAGAAATCTCCATGTTTTCAGCCACAGAATACCACATCTATATAACAGACTAGGCAAATATTGGCATATTTCTTTTAAAAGATTACCAATCTTACCATTTAAATGAATATGCTGAAATTTAAGTATTATGTTCATATCTTTACACTTTGAAAAACAGGAAGACATCCCTCTGCCCTAGCTCAGGAGCTCAGGTGAAATGATAAAATCCGGGGAAAACATGTTTTGGTACTTTGGTAAATGTGTGTGTGTTTATCTCATTCATTAGTAACCAGAGACAAGCAGGAACATGTTAACCATCAAATCAGGAGGTGGGAGATCCTGGATCTGATTTTTACTTGTTTCTATCCATTTTTGAGCACTATGCCTTTCTAGGATTTGAATTTCTCCTCTGTAAAATGAGGGAGGTAATAAATGGCTCTTAATGAAAGGTAATAAATAGTAATAAATGAAGTAATAAATGGTTCTTCAACATTTCTGGGTCACGAAGTTCTTTAAAAATATAAAGAAATCTTTGGACTTTTTTTCCAGAAAAAAAATGCATACCCAAAGTAAATTGAATATAGTTTTGGAAAGGAGTTTTTATCTTATCCTACCATAGATATTATGTACTACACAACTCCGGGGGCACAATTCACAGACTGTGGTGTAAATGACACCACCTTGGAGGTGGGCAAAGAGGTGACTCTCTTTATAGCAGTACCTTGAACTCCAAGCTAAGAACTCTTTTGCCAGATGAGCTTTAAGATTCTCTCTGGATCTGAATTTCTTCAATTCCAGAAATGTCATTATTATTACCAACAACCCTATACTAATCTGGTTAGGCCATCTTTACAAAATACTACAGAATGTGTAGCTTAAACAACAGAAATGTATTTATTTTATTTTTTATTTTTATTTTTTTGAGACAGGGTCTTGCTCTGTTGCCCAGGCTAGAGTGCAGTGGTGACTCACATGGCTCACTGCAACTTCCGCCTCCCAGGTTCAAGCGCTTCTCCCACCTCAGCCTCCCAGGTAGCTGGGGTTACAGAAGCCCACCACCATGCCTGGCTAATTTTTGCATTTTTAGTAGAGACAGGGTTTCACCATGTTGGCCAAGCTGGTCTCAAACTCCTGACCTCAAGTGATCTGCCTGCCTTGGCCTCCCAGAGTGCTGGGATTATAGGCATGAGCCATCATGTCCGGCCAACAATAGGAATTCATTTTCTCACAGTTTTAGAGGCTGGAAGTCCAAGCTTAAGGTGTCACAAAGTTAGGTTTCTTCTGAGATCTCCTCTCTCCTTGGCTTGCAAATGGCTGCCTTCTCTGTGTGTTTACATGATGTGTGTGTGTGTGTGTGTGTGTGTGTGTGTGTGTGCGCGCGTGCATGTATGTCCCCAAACTCCGAGTGTTTCTTTGCCTTCTTATAAGGACACCAGTATATTAGATTAGTGCCTCACCCTTATGACCTCACTTAACCTTAATTACCTCTTTCAAGGCTGTATCTCCAAATTCAATATAGGAATTTTAAGAGAACACAATTCAGTCTGTAACAAATCCCAAACTGATAAACACATTGCAGAGAGTAACTAGAAAAATCAAAACATCTTTCAGATCCCTTCTACATGCAAATAAGTCTATCAAAAATTAGAATGAAGTATGCTACTTTTCAAAATGGGAATTTATGATAAATAACCAGAATTTATCTGCTACTATGCTTACTAAAGGGGAAACTGTTACAGAGGTTTATTTAGTATTACATATACACGCATGTATATATCTAGTATATATGTGTGTGTATATATACATTTATTTAAAAACTAACTTGATGTTGTATAAAATAAATTAACTTTTAAATTAACTGGCCAAATGTCGTATATAGTAGGACAAAGAATGAGTTAAGATGGAAAAAATTTTAATAACCTATAAACATTCTTAGTTTTTGTTTTTCTTTGGGTCCTCCAAGTGATCATCTTCGTGTAACATAAATCAAACAACCAAAAATCTCTTCCACATCTGGTAAGTGAGGGTAGGAGGAATGGGGGTTGCTCTTTTTTTTTTTTTTTTTTTTTTTTAAATTTTCCTGATTTTTCTTTAACTATAATGGAGGATCAGGGGCTGAGAAGAAAAGGCCAAGAGTTTCTTGTCATTTTTATTTATGTATTTATTATTTCTCCCCCAGTGCCACATATAGTAACCACCACCTTCTGAGTAATTCCCGAAGCAACAACCATTCTACACCCCACCCCCAGTTACCCTAGTGCCAATGGTAGCTAAAGAAGAGAAATGTTCAAGAAGAAGATTTACATATTGCTGGATGTTCTTATTCTTAAAGCCTCACCACGATTCTATGGCTGTATAGTCCATTCAGCAATGAGTCAAGCCTGTGAGTTAGCAGTGTTACAGACTCACCAAGAATGTATGGCACCACCCAATAGCATACTGTCCTTTCATCCTTTTTTGCTTTGCATGTACTGACCTTTTTCTCTATTCATCTTCTGTACACCGACAAGGTATACATTTTAGGAAATTACATCTATCAGGCACAATGACTCCCTCTGTGATGTTTCACTCCCACGCAACACTCCCTTGGATGAAATGGCTTGCTCTCTGCCTGAATTGGGCTAAGATATATGCCTGCTGAGGGCTTCTGCCCTCCCATCTCTCTTCTACCACCCCTGCCTTGTGAATTATCTTCTTTATTCCTAGGGAATCTACAGTAAATACTTTGTCATCTATAGTCATTTGCTTGAAATTAACAGGTGGGTGGTTGGCCAAGCAAGGCAGGAGAGACGTGGGACAGGAAAAATAAATAGTAGGCACAAGCATACCAGCAGGTGTTATTATTCCAAAGCTGTGTAGCTCTTTAGCCCCTGTTTCTATTATAAAAATTAAAATTTTTAAAAGGCACCTGGGAATCTATAGGAGAGAGTCAGTGGTTAAGTGAGTTGCCTGATATCTGGCAATTAATGTTTGAGCCAGGGACTAAAATCCAGATATTTTTGATTCCTAAAGTGTGATTAAAATATGTCTCAACCATGACATATTAAACTATTGGAAATCATACGTAATACAGTCCTTTCTATATTACTTCAAAACCTGGTTTAAAGAAACAAAAGTATGATTTTTTTCATGACTTTTCAAAAGCCTTCTGATTTTCTCCAGCTATAAAGGTTATATATATATATAACCTTTAGAGCCAAATATATATGCTTTCTCTTCTTTCTCTTAAAGGTAAGCTTTATGCTCATTATTGGGACTGATGTTATTGATCATATCAGACTTCTCTTTTGGAATAATGTTTCCAGGATTTTCACTTTGAGAGGATCAAAACCCAAAAAACATCAGATGCATTTTTCTGGCATTTAGTTCCCAGGTTGGGCAGTACATTTTCAAAGTATAATTGATTTTGTCAAGGTCTTGAGTTTGGGAGTGAAGACTGGAGTATCAGGAAATGTACATCTCTAGCCATCAACTAGTAACAAGAATGGCGTAAATGTTCTAGGGACTCACTCTGACATCCAAAGGGAAGGGAGCAACTTCTGAGATTAAGAGACCTTTGGTTTTGTGATGGGAACACAAAAAGTAAACCTATTTGTCCATATCTCCTAAGACTCCAACAAATTATATGAACAACTGCAAGTTATCTGAATATGGAATGAATTATGGATCATCAACTAATTTAATGTAACCCCAGGTTGCAATTCCCGTTTTTAGAGAGGTAACACAAAATATTTTTAATCTCTAAATTGTAAATTGCTCAAGCACCATGTAATAAATATCAATATCTAACACAAATGTTTTGGTCATCACTTAACTATCATATATATAATTGAAAGTTGACTGTAAGTATTGCACAGGAGGGCACAAAAGATATGTAAACTAATTATTATCCAGTAGTCCACACTGACTATCATTTGTATGTCATTTGTTTTATTTTATTGCAAAGTAGGCATGTTGACACGTGTGTTGGGTGACCTGTTATAAACATATAGAAAAACAAAAGGAGAGAAAGAGAGATAATAATTTGATCACAGTTCTCTTTCTAAAAGCATTGCTTTAATATTCTCTTATATACAGGTAGTGATAATTAAGGATATAGAATTATTTTCTAAACACGCATAAATTTATAGTTAAGAGAAAGCATCTCATTTCAATGATAAAATGAGAGATCATTTAATTTTTTTTTTTTTTTTGAGACAGAGTCTCTCTCTATTTCCCAGGCTGGAGTGTAGTGGTGCAATCTTGGCTCACTGCAACCTGCACCTCCCAGGCTCAACCGTTCTCATGCCTCAGCTTCCCTAGTAGCTGGGATTACAAGCATGCACCACCACACCCAGCTAAGTTTTGTATTTTTAGTAGAGAGGGGGTTTCACCATGTTGGCCAGGCTGGTCTTGAACTCCTGGCCTCAAGTGATCCCCCTGACTTGGCCTCCCAAACTGCTAGGTGAGCTACCACACCCAGCTAAGTTTTGTATTTTTAGTAGAGAGGGGGTTTCACCATGTTGGCCAGGCTGGTCTTGAACTCCTGGCCTCAAGTGATTCCCCCTGACTTGGCCTCCCAAACTGCTGGGTGAGCTACCACACCCAGCTGAGATCATTTAATTTTTGATCACAACTATTGGGAGTATTTTAAAATTGTAATTGACGTAGACTGGTATGACATTGGGGACTGATGATATGGAATGTTATTGCTGATTCTTCAGTATGTGGACTTCTTGCATTATGTTCCATATATTCTTAAAAGAATGGGGCTCTCATATAATTTTATTTCAGATATGTCCATTATTTCTGGACTGTTAGTTATGCCATTTAAATTAGGTATAGCCTTGCTACCTTTTTCCAGCTTATCAGTTTTAAGAAAGATATGGTAAATTTATTCAACTAATGGTAAACACTTTTTCTAAACATTGTTCTAGGTTCTGAAGAATCGACAGTGATTGAAGAAACAAAAACATTTACTCCCATGGAACATACATTTTAGTGGGTTTTTTAAATCACAGATTTGTCATTTTTTTTAGTCAGTGTGTGCTTTATATATTTTGAGGTTATGTTATTAGGTGATACAGATCAGGACTGTTACAGCTGATCTAGTTAATTGTTTTTCTTCAGGATATAACGATGTTTTTAGATGTAAAGTCTATTTTGTCTGGCAATAATATTTCCGTATCTGTTTTCTTTTGGTTAACATGTTTCAAGCATATTAGTTAGAATATTTGTTTGACAGTATGGTAGTTCTGCTTCTCTAGGTCACCTCCAGATCCAGGTTGCCTTTTTCTTGTTGCTCAGCCACAGCACATTGGGCAACCTATCAGTTCAGCAAATGTTAACCAGAAGAAAACATGTGGTAATGTCCACATGGGCAAAGTTGGCTCATCACCTCATCCACATTCCAGAAAAGGGGCAAAGAGAAAGCAGAAAGAAAACGTCAGCCTCTTAAGGTATGACTTAGAACTTGCACACATAAATTGCATAGGATTTAGCAACAGAATAGTAATGCCATTTAGACCGTAGACACAGTAGATAGGTGGTTTGGGTTCAAATACTGGCTCTGGCACCTCCTGGCTGTGTGAGTATAGACAAGTTACAATCTATGCCTCATTTTCTCCAATTGTAAAACAGAGATACTTATAATAATATATATCTTATACACATTAATCAAGTATTGGTTATTATTATTACCTTTATTTTTCTTCTGCAGTTTCTAGAATGCCTTTGTTTAATCACTTCAACCATATTTATTTTGGCAATGTATTTCAGATTGTTCTATTACGTCACATTATTTGATCCCTTGTTCTACCATTGTTGTGGTTATTAACTCTCTCTCATGGTGGACTATTTTCTTACTAAATTTTTATTTTTCTTATTTTATTTTATTTTATTTTTTGAGACGGAGTCTCGCTCTGTCGCCAAGGCTGGAGTGCAGTGGCACAATCTCGGCTCACTGCAAGCTCCGCCTCCCGGGTTCACGCCATTCTCCTGCCTCAGCCTCCCAAGTAGCTGGGACTTCAGGTGCCCGCCACCACGCCCGGCTAATTTTTTGTATTTTCAGTAGAGACGGGGTTTCACCATGTTAGCCAGGATTGTCTCGATCTCCTGACCTTGTGATCCACCCACCTTGGCCTCCCAAAGTGCTGGGATTACAGGAGTGAGCCACCGCATCCGGCCCTATTTTTCTTATTTTGTACTGAAGTTTATGATACTGTAGGAGCTATGCATGCCTCACTCTAGAAGAAAATTCCAGCTATTCTGACATTAATATAGCATATGATACTAAACAAGTCACTCTCTTCTGTATCTGAGTTTATCCTAGGTATCTCCTGAATAGCTAACATCCTTCTTTTTCTTACCGGCGACTGAGGAGAGATGGCCTTGTGTTGGTTAGACAGAGCAAAGTAGTTCTGCAGTCTGTCCCACGGTTCTCAGGCTACACGTCTTTATTTAGGGTGATTCATTTTTATTTATGTTTAGCCCACCATAGTTCCATGCTGAAGAGGTAAGGAACAATAGGGTAAGCAAGCCAGCCAGCATATTCTTCCCATACCGATGAGCTTTTCACCAGAGGAAAATGCCCTCTCAGATCACAGAAACAGTAGCTGTGTAGGTGTTGCTAGTGGAGAAAAAAAAATGTTTGGTATTTAAAATAGAAACATAAAATTGTTAATAAGTCTACAGACAACTTGTATTGCATGCAGAAATAAAAAATGAAGTCCTAGTACAACAATACTGCTTAGTCTTGGATTCATTTTACAGAAGTTTAAGATTCCTCACCTCAATGAATGAGATTTTAATAAACAGAAGTGTATTAGAATATTTGCAGCATCCAGGCATTGGGTTTGAGCCTCAAAATAAGGCCAGGGATGACATTTAAGTAAATTCAGAAGTAAAAAGCAAATGGAAAACACTTTTAATGATGTGTCACATAATGTAAAATGTGAAAAATAACTTAGAGGTTATATACTCCATCCTCTTGCTTCAGGGTCCCTAACAGGCATCTCTCACTTGAGCATACCCTGTGATGGGGAGCTCACTGCCTTGCAGTGAATCTTTGATTTTGCTGTGGCTCCAAATGTTGGAAAGTGATTCCTTATGAGATAATTGCATATTTTGGAGGTTCCCCCACCACACACACATACACAGAAGAAATGTTCTCCCCTATAGTAATTCAAAATATCTCGATAGTATTGCACAAATATCCATTAAGTGTCTCCTATGGGCCTAAAACTGTGGACAATTGGAGATAAGGAATATTGTCGTTTTCATTTTGCCTGTGAGAAAAAGAGTTTTCGGAGGCTAGGTAACTTGTCCAAGGAAACGATTGAGCAGAGATTTGAACTTAAGCTCTCTGGCCCTGGAATTTAAGCTGTCTGGCTCTAGGACTAGGCCCTCATTCCCTGCATGATTTCAGAATTCATGATTCCATGAATCATGTAGGGAACCCAGATATAAATCAACTGATAATAACAGAATGTGGCAAGTGTGAACAGAACTGTACTTTAGGAAGCTAGGAAAGAACAACTAATTCTGCCTGTCCAGATTGGAAATAGTAAGTTTTGAAGACATAGACACCATCAATGCCAAAGTATTGTTATCATAATGTTGTTTCACCTATTTTAAGAAAAATCTGTTTCTTCTACCTATGACATAAACTTACATTTCAGTATCCCCCACCTCACCTCGTCATCAGTTTTAGAATGTGCTAAATTCTCAATACTACTGAGAAATGCCCTTATTCCCCATATTGCAAAGATTTCTGGGGCTGCTTAATAACACTTTGTACCTTCTGTTCAGAGAACATTCATCTTATTCTCCTCTCAAATTCTCTGTTAAGTAAATTTAATACTACATAGCATCAAGAGGAAAGTGACCATTTATTTTAGATCTGTATCTATCTTAGACGATGTACTTTTCATGGAATAGTGAGTGAGACAGACACTTGAGTCAGGTGATGTTTGAACTAGGATGTTCCCAGAATTAAATGGTAGTCTCTTAAATTGGATCTCATGAGTACTTTAGTATCTGAAAAGTAACTACATGGAATAAATTAAACAGAGGAAAACTCCTGGCTATGCCATTATTAAACTTTTTTAAAAATATGGTCTTTATTTGACATTTCTGAGTATGGCAACCCATTCCTTGGAAATAAAGAATGTGGCTTCCAACACATGAGTTTCCCCCTCCCTCTCCCCTCCCCTCCCTTACCTTCCTCCTTCTTCCTTCCCCTTCCCTTTCTTTCCCTTCCCCTTTCTTTCCTTTCCCCTTTTTTTCCCTTCCCTTCCCTCCCCTCCCACCCCTTACCTTCCCCCTTCCTGTCTCCTTTTTTCCCCTTCCCTCCCCTCCTCTTTCTTCCCCTTCCCTTTCCCTGGCCTGCCCTTTCCTTCCCTTTCTCCCTTCCCTCCCTTCCTCTTCCCTTCCCTTCTCCTGCCGTGCCTTGCCTTTCTGTATCCCATGGAATACCTCTCTTTTGCATTGGAAGAAAAACTTGATCCCTTTTGGAGCTCTTTGGGCTTTAAAGGTTTAAGTGCCAAGTGAACGCTGGGCTTGTTTGCCTCCTTTAGGAAGCCCCGTGTGGATGATTCCACCCCTCATTGATAATCTTCTTACTTTACACTCCCCTTTCTCTGCCAATTTAAAATCATTCAAAATCAAGTTCATCATAATAGTGAACGTCAATTTACAATGCTCTTTTCCAAGATAACTTCTTTTCAAACCCTCAAAACTATTCTATGAGGTAGAGATGATTCATAGTTGTACAGTTGAGGAAGCAGGCTCAAAAAGTTTAAGGTAACTTGTTCAAAGTCATATAGCCAGTGGACCCAGGATTTGAACTCTAGTCTTTTAACACTCAGTTTACGTGTTACCTTGTCTATGAATCCTTCTTGATGGTCCCTGCTTTCCCTGCCGTAGATCAGTAGATCAATTCCATTCTCTATTCCCCTGTGTGCTTTGTTTATACCTTTGTTCTAGCACTTATCACATTGTATTTGGGAAGCAGTGTATTTAAATGGATTTGTGGCTGGTCTAATTTGGTTTAGGTTTTTTTTTTTTTTTTTCCTGTTAGTTTATTTACTTCCTAAGGCCTGAAATCTCTTCTTCATTATTTGACCTGCTGGACTTCATGCAGTGCTTTGCCCATAGTATGTATAAATTTAGTGTTCATGGAGAAAATGAATCAATGCACCAAAGTGAAGGACAGGGGCTGCGGTTTCTTTGTATCCTGAGTGGAACCTAGTTCAGAGGTACAGTCACAATCACTTTTAAAAAAATGTTGAATAATAATGAAATACTACATAAATCCAATAGAAATTCTTAAAATATTTAGAAGGCATGTTTTCTAGGAAGAAGGCTAATTATTAGAATTTATTTTTTATTCTAGAGAAGAAAGAGAGAAAATAAAGAATTAAAGAAATAGGAAAGAGAAGTCACTAGAGAGCCCTTTCACGTCCCAGAGCAGATTAGGATCTTGAGAGCTCTACCCTACTCTGACAAATAATTACTTATAAAACAATTCTGGGGTTTCATAGCCTGCATTACCTGGTTCCAGGGACCAATCATGAGCTTCGTTGTTTTGGAGTTGGCTTGGAGGACATTTATAAGAAACATGTGATGAAGTTGCCCCTTTTTCTGCAGAAGATAGGCAAAGAGAATCCCATGAGTTGGGTAACATGTGGGACAGATTTTGCATTCCGTGATTTGAAATTATGGGTGGGGGCCGGGTGCGGTGGCTCACGCCTGTAATCCCAGCACTTTGGGAGGCCAAGACGAGCGGATCACGAGGTCAGGAGATGGAGACCATCCTGGCTAACATGGTGAAACCCCATCTCTACTAAAAATACAAAAAATTAGCTGGGCATGGTGGCTTGCGCCTGTAATTCCCGCTACTCGGGAGGATGAAAAAGGAGAATTGCTTGAACCTGGGAGGCGGAGATTGCAGTGAGCAGAGATCACGCCACTGCATTCCAGCCAGGGCGGCAATGCAAGACTCTGTGGCCAAAAAAAAAAAAAAAAAAAAAAAAAAAATGGGTGGGAGGGAGGGTGTTTACTCCCTGCCCTGGAGATTTGTATAAACAGGAAAAGAAGACTGTTTTCTTGTTTAGTCTTTTAAACTAAAGACTTTTCTCTCATCTGGAGAAAAAAATAATAATGGTAGTAATAATAATAATAATAAAATGGGCCGGGCACGGTGGCTCACGCCTGTAATCCCAGCACTTTGGGAGGCCAAGACGAGCGGATCACGAGGTCAGGAGATGGAGACCATCCTGGCTAACATGGTGAAACCCCGTCTCTACTCAAAATACAAAACATTAGCCAGGCGTGGTGGTGGGCACCTGTAGTCCCAGCTACTTGGAAGGCTGAGGCAGGAGAATGGCATGAACCCAGGAGGCGCAGCTTGCAGTGAGCCAAGATCGCGCCACTGCACTCCAGCCTGGGTGACAGAGTGAGACTCCGTCTCAAAATAAATAAATACATAAAATAAAATAATTTTTATTATTGATCATTTTTGTGTGTCGGGTACTATTTCTAGACAATTTACATGTATTAACTTTAAACTTGACAACAAACCTATTAGATAGATGGTATGATTACTCCCATTTCACAGATGAAGAAACTAAACTACAAAGAAGCTAAGATCGAGCCGGGCATGATGGCTCACACCTGTAATGCCAGCATTTTGAGAGTCCGAGGTGGGCAGATCACGAGGTCAGGAGTTCGAGACCAGCCTGGCCAACATGGTGAAACCCTGTCTCTACTAAATATACAAAAAAATTAGCCGGGCATGGTGGTGCATTCCTGTAATCCCAGCTACTCGGGAGGCTGAAGCAGGAGAATTGCTTGAACTGGGACCCGGGAGGTGGAGGTTGCATTGAGCCGAGATTACGCACTGCACTCCAGTCTTGGTGACAGAGCAAGACTCCGTCTCAAAAAAAAAAAAAAAAAAGAGGCTAAGATCTTGGCCACGTTTTCACAGCAGCTAACAAGCAGAATCAGGATTTGAACCTAGGCCGTGGAGCACCAGAGCCCATTCTAAATCTGAATGCACTCTCAAAGTGTCTTGCAGGGAGGTGAGCCCAGTCTGTCTCTCTCAGACTTCAAGACCATTTGCAGTGGTCCCCATACCTATTGCAATGATTCTGAATAAAGTCTCCTGTACCAAAAAAATAAAAAGTATTCTCTAAATCTTTAATATTTTATCCTAGAAACAAATGAGATTATTCCTTCTTTTATTGTGATAACATATTATGATAACTCATTTTATTTGATTCCCTAAAACCGGACAGAGATTTCCATGGTGCTGAGGATACGAAGTTTAGACCTTCGATAGCTAGTCTAAGCTTAGTGGAGATCTGATATCCAATCTAAGCTTAGTGAAGACAAACAGGTTGTAAATGCCCAAATCTCTCTATGAGAAACTAATTAAGCCCTGCCTTTGAGTAAAAGAGAAAAAAAAAAAAATGCTTCTATATTAAAATAACTTCATTTGGAGTTCAAAGGAAGCTAAATAAGGTTTTCACAGGAAGAGTTCATATTTTTTTAATCCTTAAAGTAATGTGTATAAGTTTCAATGAAGTAAATGTCCCAGCTACATTATTCAAACTCAAGAGATTAAAAATATTTTTTTTCCAACATCCAAACTCCTGATATCCCTATTTCAGCCACAGGGAGGACAAGGGCATAACTATGGATGTTTATTAGAAGGATAAGTTAAAGAGGCAGAAGCAGTATATACATTCTCTAAACTATACATTTATACAAGGATGCCATTGTCTTTTTTTAAGCAAATACTTGTAGAAGTGATGTCTAAAAGAATAAAGCTTCTCTTCTATATCTCCAAATAGAAAATATAATCAAAATCCGCTTTTATGTAGGATGGCTTTTTTAAATAAATAAGCAGAAGGATGAATTATGTGGCTATAAATAAATCTACTGACATGTAATAAAGCAAAGTCGAACTGTTTTATGGTGTCACTGAAACCCTTAGATATATTTATAGCCATGTTAACAGTCCCCAGTATTTTTTCAGGACTTTTATTTCATTTCACATTATGAGAGTTTAGTTGTTTGTTTTTCTCTCCCTAAATTGCCTTCTGGAGCCCTTTGTAGAGATAGAAAGTAAGGATCTCTACTCTTCATATTTGGAAAAAAAAAGGGTCTTCACCGAAAAAGCTTAGGGCTCACACAGAAACAGTCGGTTCTGATGCTTTCTGGTCTGCCTGTTTCTGTGCAGTTCATATGAGATGTGCCTGCGAAGAACAACTTGACAGGTAGCTCCTGCTGGCAGCAAAGTGGCAAGTCAGAGTCTATACAAGTGAGGAGAGGCCTGTGCAGAGATAAAATGTACAGTACTGTAGAAAACAAGCAGATGGACAGAGCAACTTTGCATTAGATTCCTGATGCCTGACACATTTAAATACAATCACAAGGCTTATTTCAGAAGCCAAAGAATCTCCAGACTATCACATAGCCGAGGCACAGACCAAAACAAGATAAAGGGTCTGATGGGTAAAGATGCTCACACCTTACCCTGGGACATTCTCTTGCAGGGTGAGGATGGGGGGGGGGACATTTAAAAAGCAAGAGGAGAAGGTTTATAATACCAGTTCTAAAGCCTGAAGTAATATAGGGGTTTTTTAAAATTGTATTCCATTTAGAAATTTCAGGATCCAAAGAGTATGGTTAGGATTCCGTGGGGGGTTTATTCAAGTGGAGCTAAGCGTGGTTGTTCCTGTGAAATTATTTATATTTTTCAACTTGAAATCTGGGTGAGCATAGTGTTTCTAAATCTATTTCTCTTCTTTTCTATCTTAAAAGTGGACTCTCATTTTCATCCTGTAGCTATACACTTGATTCCCAAGTGTTATCACTCAAGGGACCCACTAGAAAAGCCAACTCAAGAGGAAGAGGAGAGCTTTTGATGGTAGGACAAGGGATGACAAATCCTTCAGCTGGAACTCTAGCTACAGGCAGTATTTAGAAAGTATCACTGGAGCTAAAAATCTTTAAAAATGTATTTAATGTGTTAGACTAATATAGGCTCTAAAAGACCTAAAAAGAACAGGATCCAGAAAAGAAGTCGAAATAGGAATGTGTTAACTAGAGGGAGGGGCAGGAGGGATAAGAAACACATGAAAAAATTAACAGTGGGGTAAATTGGAGAGGGACATTCATTTTATTAGGATAATTGGGGGTTGTCTCTTTGTAGTGGAAGAAGTAAAATAGACCTGTCTTACATTTGTCCTCTGAAGAGTCTTCTCAGTATTTAACTGTGTTCCCAAATGGAATCAGCCTTACCAAAATTCACGGTGACTTCTTTTGACATTTTGCAAAAAGTAAATAAATAAATTATAAGTATGACAAGTGAAATGAATAGTTCCAGCTGTGATGCACCAGCAGCATTTCCAGATTTTGTACTGCATTAAGGATTTATTTTCTCTTTATTGCCTAGCAGAGAATTAATTGGAAGGTCCATCTAAGCTTCCCACACATCCTCAGAATGAAGTCAAAGCAGTCTCCAATGCTCAATGCCAATTAAAAAAAAAAAAAAAAAAGAAAAACAGTAAGTGGGTAGGTGGTCAGTTTATCAACTCTGGAAAAGCTTGTCTTTGAGGATTCACACTGCTAAAGCCAGACAAACGCATCAGCAAAATTAATGGCATAAGGAAAATGTGAGTATGAGATTGGCAATTGATTCACTGAGTTCGTTCATTCAGCCAGTATTTACTGAGCCCGTATGATGTGCTACCTATTTTTTCACACACACAGAAAACAGGAGAAAATGAAGACTCAGCCCTCAGAGAGCTTATAACCATTTTAAGGAGATAAACTATGAACAAGTATACAGATAAAATAATTTCAGACACTGGAGAGTGCTGTCAAGGAAATAAAACAAGGTAATGGGAGGGGATGCCTTCCAGGGGTGGTGGTCAACTTTAAATGAGGACCAGAGAGGGTCTCTGAGGAGGTGACATTTGAAATGCACCCATCACATGAAAATCTTGGGGAAAAGCCTTCCAGACAGAAGGGGCCAACAATGCTATAAAGGCCTTGGGATGAGAAAAAACTTCCCACGATCAAAGCAGAAAGACCTGGGGAACTAGAGAGTAGGGAGGAATGGGGCATCTGGCAGGAGATGGAGCTGAAGCATTAGAGTTAAGCAGAGTCATCTAGGCCGCCTTAAGGCCAAAAGTGCAGTGGAAATCCACCTGGGGACTAAATCAAGGAGTGGTTGAATTGAGTGGAAATTATCATGGATATTTAGGATATTAAGAATTTTTTCTGGCTTTTCTAGCAATAATAGCATAAGACCCTAACCATGTACTTAACCTGTTCTTCACCTTTTTAGAGCTTCAGCTTATTTTTCTAGTGGACAAAGAATATTGCCACTGTTTGTCAGGTGCTCTACCAGATACTGTATATTTTCTCATTTTAAACCCCCAACAACCTCGAGAGGGAGGCATATTCCTCATTTTACAGAGGAGGAAACTGAGGTTTCAATGGAATGTCCATAAACCACCCCTTCCCCTTGCTGTGGTGTCCCTGAGAGCATGCTGCTGGTTTAAGACACTGCGTGGGGGCACACCCAAAAGTATGCAAGACCTTGTCAGAGGGCCATTTCCTGGGGGGCTGTGGATCCTGGACCACCCTTACAAATGAGAGCCAGGGCAGTTAGGGTGACTGTGTGCATCATTTACTACGGGCAGCTTGAAGCTTTTGGAGGACACCAATTTCAGAACCAGAATACCAGTTCACTGCCATAAATTCTGAAATGGACTTGATGTATGACCTTGAAGGCAAATCACCTGTAGGTTTGGTCTTTTTGTTAGAGAGACATAATGCTGTTTCCTCAACACCTCCTTGGGGTGTCTCAAGGATGAATAGGGCTGTCTTAATCCCTGTTCTTTATCCTCAGGGGGTTTGAAATGAGAGTGGAGTATATAATAGGTGCTATAAGCTCCTTTTAAAAAAGCCTCCTAAATACAACATATATATGTTTTAACCAGCAAGTATTGTTCACTCACCTCCCCTTCCTCCCTGCAAATGTAATGGGCTTTTTACCCAAGGTGAATGGTAGGAGGGAGTCAAAGCTAGCAAGACCTGTGTGGACAACAACCTGGCCTGAGAGGGCAGCCTGTTGGGTTTGTCCTTCCTGCGCATGAGACATACTGGAGGGGTGGATGCCGCCTAGTCCACAGTGTTACCGTGTCCTGGCAGAGCCTTGGGTCAGTCCCCTCCTGGAGTCACAGATGGCCACGACAGAGGACAGGTGCTGCCATTCTGGCTCTCCCCTGCGTGTTCAGTCGTGAGGTAAACACCGTGCTGTCTTTGATGCCCAGCGCCCAGGGGACTTCACCCACCTGGGGCAGCCCTTCTGCAGCCAGTTCCGGACAGGCGCCAGTCACTTCTCTTTGAGCCAGCCGACTTGGCCCTCTCCCCTTCTGAAGTTTTTTGATCAGGACTACAGGCGCGGACGATAACCTCTGGATTTTGAATCCCAACAGTGTCCTATCCACCACCGGGGGTGGCAGCCACCTTCTGGAAGGACTGCCAATCACGGAGCCCTTCACCCTTTGGAGTCCCCAGGCCACCGCTCCACCTTCACTTTTGGGAGTCCGGACTCAGATTCCCATCATTCGCCCTGCGGGAGGGGCCCTGGGCATTTTAACCCCGGGAGACACACGCGCCTGGAGAGTGGTCGCCCAAGCCACCGCCAGGCAGGGAGGAGCGCGCGTGCGGCACCACCGCGTGCAGCAGCTCCAGCGCTCGCGCTGCCTCAAGGGGTTTATTTTTATTTCTATTTGGAGCTACTTCGGCCTTAGCCGCCGCCCTTACTTTTCCTCCGAAATTGTGAGAAGGTGCCTTCATGGCTGGAGTTTGGTTTCACGCGCCTGGGAGAAGAGCAGGGCACGGGTGATAAAGAAGGCGCAGTGTCGGTCTGTCGGTGTCACACACGCGCGCACACACGGCGGGGCGGGAGCCGCGCGAGCGAGAGGAGGGCGGGCGGCGTGTGCTGGAGGCTCGCGCGGGTGTATACGAGCCTGTGCTTGAATGGGAAGGGCCGGGATTCCGGGTCGCTCTGGCCCCTCCTTCCTCCGGAGCCAGCCAGTCCCTCGGCAGAGCGCTGGGGCTGCACTGATTTGCTCTCGGGAGTGCGCTATTTGCATATGACTTGCCCATTTGTGAATTTGGCTCCCCAACTCCTCGCTTCACTTCACCTGTGCCTCCCTGGTCCGCGCACTTCGCAGGCGCCCGCCCGCCTCTCGGCCACCTCTGCAGCCTGCCAGGCACCTCCTCTTGCGCTCTCGCTGATTTCGCCCACCCACCTCCCTCCACCCCGTGCCACGTTGGTTTGGGTGGCTGCTCCGCACCGGGTTCCTCCTCCTCTCCTCTTTCCCTCCAGTCCTTCTTATTCTCTTCCTCTGGCTGCGGTGGCTGCTGCTGCTGCTGGTTTTCATCCAGTTGGGAAACCCAGGAAGCCGGCGGCTGCTCCGTGGCGCTAGTCCAGCACGCCCAGGGTTAAAAGCCTCGCGCCCTTCCGCGGAGACTCCCAGGAACACCCGAAGAACTCTTCCACCTGCAGCCCCCTTTTGCCTGGCAGTTCTGCATTGCATCTCATGGAAGTGGAAACAGGAAAATAAAAATGTTCAAACTCCTTGGATGTTGGGATAAACTCACCTGAACCCACTTGGGTTCGGGCTGCCTCCTTCTCTTCCTTCATTGCCACCTTTCCTCTGTGTGGCTCCCGGGAGTGTGCGGTTAAGTCATCAGACTCGAAGTGCCTAGAGATCCGGAGGAAGCCGCGCCGGTCTTCCCCTGACATGCGTGGCATGCCGGGGCTCCGTAGGAGGTTTGCTATACCTGGGAGGACCCTGGCATTCTAAATTTCAGCTCCGGGAAAGAGAAGGGGCTTTTTGCCTTTTATCTTTTTTTTTTCTTTCTTTAAGTAGTAATTTTTTAACTGATTCATTGTTTGGAAAGCGCATATTGCTTCCCTCTTCCCCGAATTCTGGCAACTCTTCCTCCTGCTATGATGGGCCCTTGGGCATCATGAACTTCATTACTCCTCACTGGCTGGAATTCAAACTGCCCATCTGTAGTGGTCCCGTGCGTTGACCATGCACCTGAGAATCCACGCGAGACGGAGCCCTCCTCGCCGGCCGGCCTGGACGCTTGGGATCTGGTTCCTGTTCTGGGGATGTATCGTCAGCTCTGTATGGAGTTCTTCTAATGTAGCTTCCTCCTCCTCCACCTCTTCCTCGCCGGGGTCTCACTCTCAGCACGAGCACCATTTCCATGGCAGCAAGCATCACTCAGTGCCTATTTCTATCTATCGTTCCCCTGTTTCCCTTCGAGGAGGACACGGTAGGTCTCTCTGCTCTTTATCCTTTTAATGGGGCATAGCAATTCGCTAACCCACTAGCCTTGCAGGTAGTGTCAAAGGTGGGAAGGGAATTTAAAAAAAATGAATTTAAAATGATGAAAAGCATCGTATGTCCATGAGGGAAGCAAATTTCTACTTTCTCATAAAGGTTAGTGTTTTCTGCCCCTAGCCTCCGACAACCATCTCCACTTTTCTCTAAAGGGTTCTTTTCCCCTTAGCTCCCTCATTCATAGCTGCACAGACACCACACTCTCTCTTTTGCAACCTTCTACTCTCTCCACCCCCACGGAGACAGGCAACTTATCAGGTGAGTCCCAGTGCTGTACTTGGAGAAATATTCATTCACCTTGCTTTCACCCTTCTTTGCTGTGGTCTTGCTTGGGAGCTAGTGGGGGTGGGGTGGGAATAGCTGACAACAGGAATCAGGTTTTCAGCCTGAAGTTGATTGAACTGTTATAAAGTAGCCTGTGTGGTAATGGTCAGGGAAAAGTAGCCGAACATAAGAAGGCAGAAAATATAATTAACAACCTGTGGCCATTTGTGTTGAATTTGGCAGCTTTATGTTTGTCCACATATCTAGTGGAAAAAGCAGCTATCTCTAAAACTACACATCTACTATTGCTATCAGAAAGGAAGCAATATGTAAGATAAGGCTAAGTTCATTTATAATTTACCCAAGTGTAAATGACAGTAACTTGGATTCCCCGTGTATGCAAATGTTATTTCATCTTTAGGTAGCAGAGATGGGCTTGTTCACACAATACAGGTACGATGGGTTTTACTCCAAACAACCCTCCTTACATGGCTATTGAGGGAAGAGATCTATGGCTCTGAAAATGATACTCAGCTGTTAGCCGGCTGCCTCTAAAAGGGCGATGTCTGCAGCTAAGGTAGGAGCTTGCTGTGGTAAACTGTTCTAAAGAAAGGAGCTTCTTAATTTGTTTACTATGCACTCCACTCTGATGGTAAGGAGAGTAGGACACACAGAAATGGAGACTGGTCTTGCTTGGGAGCTAGTGGGGGTGGGGTGGGAATAGCTGACAACAGGAATCAGGTTTTCAGCCTGAAGTTGATTGAACTGTTATAAAGTAGCCTGTGTGGTAATGGTCAGGGAAAAGTAGCCAAATATAAGAAGGCAGAAAATATAATTAACAACCCGTGGCCATTTGTGTTGGTTTTGGCAGCTTTATGTTTGCAGGAACAGCCCTCCAGGGAACATGAGCGTGAACCATACTAGGGGGTTCCTGCCCTTGTATTTTGAAGACTGATAACATCCAGACCCTATTTGGAAAGTTGATTCTTCCTGCTGCCTCCTAGCCCTGAGCTTTGGCTTTATGCTGTCTGTAGTGTAAGTGGAAGCACATTGAGAAAATGCCAGCACATACTCTGGCTCTTTTTGACTCTGTCTTTAAATTTTATTTGATGGAGTTGTCAAGCAGCTCACAGCTTGTAAGGTTGGTGGAGGGGGATGGTGAAAAGAAGGGATTGCTTGATCTTGATCTGGTGGCTCTTTTCTCTGTGACTCCTGCTGGGTCTGGTGTTGGCTCCCTTAAAAAAGAAAGAAGCAAACAAACCTAGGAGAAAAAAGAGCCACAACCACCAAAAAAGCAATTTCATTGACATGGAAACTTAGCTCCTAAGGGGGAGAGGGACTGGGGGGAGCGGGTAAGACAGGAAAAAAAGAGGGAGTGGGAGATAGGGGAAGCCAGAGAGACTGTTACTAATAGCCATAATTAAACACGGAAATGCTCAGAGATTAGCTAAATTTTGCTAATTACTGTAAATGATCAGCAGGGAGAGGAAGATTATGCATTACAGGTTATGGGTGGCAGGGTCTTGATATCTTTTGTTCGGGTTGTAAACAGTTACAGCAGATACTAGTAAGTGATGGAATTTGCAGAGCAGTACTTCCCTAGGGTCCCTAAGTCAGAGTCAGTCTCTCTCTCTCTCTCTCTCTCATAAAGGGGTTGAGCCTTGCACAGGTTAAACATGACCCTTTATTTAGTTTATTTCTTCAACGATTGGTTGCTCAGTCTCCTTTAAATCTTTTTGACTGGTCCCCAGTCTAGTTTCTCATTAACCTACATCTGATAAGGTTCAGTGTGATGGAAAATAAGAAGAAAGTAAGTAAATGGCTAGAGACCCCAGAAAAGGCCCTCAGACTCACCAGAGCTGTAGAGTACAGTGAACTCCATCCAGGGTCTGGCATGGCTGAGATAAGAAAACTCATGAATTCAGCTCTTCAGAATCCTCTTTCAATCCTGAAGTCCCAACTCATTGATTTGGGGCTTGGAGAGTGAATGCATCTGTATTAAGTAGACTCCTTGCATATTTAATTGGTGTTTTTGAGCATAAAATCAAGAGAAGCAGCAATCAACAAAATATCCCTACCTCTGGCTTCCATCCTGCACCCAAGCTGTGACCCTTTGCGTCTCTAACTAAAAGGACCAGAAGACCCCACAGAGCTTTGCTAATGCACTTCTCATTCTTACTTGGTGTACACTTGCTTTTTCCTAGTCCAAGACAAAGACCTAGCTAACAGCAATTGTTTTAAAAAATATTTTTGGATGGAGGTGGTAGGAGGCATGGCACCAAGAGACTGATGGTTGTTATTGATGATTTACTGCCAATCTTATTCCAGAGTTAAAGGCAGCACTCTCTGTTGTCTGTGAAAAAGTAAATGCCCTTGATTTTGGTATGAAAGAAAACTAGAGCCTTGAGTCCAAGAATCTTCTTTGGACTTAAGAGATTGTTGTTTTTTTAACTACACTTGCTCTTCCCTTGCCCATTTCCTGAGAAGCCAAAGTCCTCAAAGCTGCTGTTCATCAGTTGGTGCTCCCACCCCCTTTCTCTACTATCCAGACCTATAGAGAGATTCATGCTAAGACAGATGGAAGAAACAGAAATCCTCCAAATAGCTGATATTTTACCTACACTTTTGCCTGTGCTTGGTTCCAAGCTTTAGAAAATTGGTTATATTATAGATTTGCTTAAAGCCTTTATCCCAGGACAGCCTAGAGGATGCTGGGATTCTTTGTAAATTAGGGAGACTAAGGCCACACTTACCTGGGGTGCCCCCAAAAAATCTCACATTAGGATTGTGTTTCAGGATAGGATTAACCTTCTTCTTAATGGGAATCTAGTAGGCTCTTCCCCATTCTGTTAGAGTCCTCACCCCACTTTCATGCTCTCTTCTGTTCACCAGTCAGTCAATACTCTTTGAGCACATACTCTGTGCCAGGCTGTGGGCTACTGCTGAAGATACAGAACCGAATAAGACATTGTGGTGTTCAGCTAGGAATAATTGCAAAAGTATATATATATATGCTTCCATATTTTAAAAAGTGCAAGGAGTGGGTGGAGATCCAAATACCAAGCGAAATTAATACAAAATCAAAATATCCTTTATAAAATGAAGGTTTACATTATCCTGTTATTTAAAATATCCCTCCAGGTTCCTTTTCATCCTTGGCTTTATTTCCATATGTAAATATCATTTTTTATCAAAGTGCAAGGTAGTTTAGTGATTACAGATATATAAATAGTAAAATATATTTGTTTACCAAGCTTTAATTACATAAGCAACTTTTGTATATTTTTTCCTTCTTTTTTTCCCTCTCTCTCTTAAAGGTCATTGGACCTTTAAGAAATCCAATGTGTCTGGGCATGGTGGCTCACACCTGTAATCCTAGCACTTTGGGAGGCCGAGGTGGGGGGATCACCTGAGGTCAAGAGTTTGAGACCTGCCTGGCCAACATGGGGAAACCCCGTCTCTACTAAAAATACATATATATATATATATATATATATATATATATATATATATATGTATCTCCAATGTACATCTGCCTAAAAAATGCTTCAGTATTTATAGTTTAAATGCAGGTTTCTCTAAGGATTCAAGGTTTTATATGTACCTTAAATGCTATTCTCTATAAAACAGCAGACTTTCCTGCCTCTGTAGACGATTTGTGGGGACTAGTTGAGGACATGGAACTCTTGGAAAGCTCAGTTTTAAAAGGGAACACACCACGCTATATTTGCAGGAAGAACTCTTGCTCAGAAACCAGGGTGTGTGAAAAGGGGGAGTATAAAAGTCCTATTCAAACCATCTTAGCAGAAGTGGTGGTGATGGGCCCCCTTGTGACACATGATCCTGGAGTCTTTCTTGGACTCATTCCTTGTCCCAGGGATCCACCCCCAAAGTTTTTTCAGCCTTGGGGGCTTGTTTTGCTTTGATCTATTGAGTGCCTTCTTCTGCTCAGCCAGCTGCTTTCTAACCACTTTCTTTATGCCTGCCTTCTTGAGATTCAGGGAGTTGAATAATTCATAGTGTTGGTTGACAGATCAAATGATAAGATTTATATATCTTTGGCCTTGGTGATGAATTAATTAGATTGGTTTCTCCATCTTTGGCTCCTCTAGATGCGTTGTTTTTCTTCTTTAAAATTCACTGGTGAGTGGTGGGTCTGGAGATTAACTTGTTCTTGAGAGACCACCATAGGATGATTATAATATCCTAGTGTCAATTTCTTCAGGACTTTCAACATGGATCACTGGGTGGTGTGGAGTAGGGGCAGCTATATCATAGAGAGGAGAGATAAGATCATCAGAACAAAAAACAAGACGCACACACACACACAAAAACTTGCCGATACTGGCTGCGGGATGAAATTTTACAGTAAGAACTTGATTGCTTTCACCTCAGATTTTGAATCTAAAAGAGAAATGTATTTCATTTTACATTTTAGTAAATGAACTTATCAGCCCAAAGAAGTTTGCTTTACTAGAACTCTGGGTGACCAGGGAGGGAAGCAAATCTCTGAAGATAAATCTTGAACTTACTCATACTTTCCTCCTTGTATTAGTTTGCTAGGGCTGCCATAAAGTAGTAAAGTACTATAGACTGGGTGGTTTAAACAAGAGAAATTTGTTTGCTCAAGGCTCTGTAGAGTAAATGTCTGAGACCAAGGTGTCAGCAGGTTTAGTTCTTTCTGACATCTCTCTCCTTGGCTTGCAGATGGCTGTTTTCTCACTGTGTCCTCATAGGGTCTCACCTTGATCTACATGCATGCATCCCTGGTGTCTTTGTGTGTCCAAATTCTCCCTTCTTATAAGAACATCCATCAGATTGGATTAGGGTCCTCCCTAAAAGCCTCATTTTAACTTAATCATCTCTTTAAAGGCCCTGTCCTCACATACACTCACATTTTGAGGTACCAGGAATAAAGCTTTGACATATGAATTTTGAAGAGACACAGTTCAGCCCCTAATGCTCTTTCTCCTCACCGTGCGCTGCCCCCCACCGCCCCCCACCATCCCCCGCCCAGTTATTGGGAAAGAAGTAAAACTGTACTGTTCAGTGAATACCCATTGGACTCAAACTTTCACAGCAGAAAAATAAAACTTCAGTGACAATGGTTGCAATTTACAAAATTCATAAGATAGTGCCCTAAGAGGTAATGTTGTGTTTACAGATATGGGGAAAAAAACAGCTATTGGTTCAGTGAAGACTTGTGTTTTCTTTCTTCTCAGTTTATCTTCTGTGACTGAGTCCAGATCTTTATTTGCACATAGACTAATTCTGTCTGACTGCAGACACATGCTCTAATGTCCACACATTAAAGCTTTCTTTACCTAGACCTGCTACCCTTCTGACCCAGACCCTCCACTCCTGCCACTGACTCCTTTATGAACTACAGTTGTTTGCTCTTTGCCTTTCCTGAAACACAAATTACCAACTACTTTCACATCTCAGCCTTTGGTGAAAACAAGAGAAAAAATAGGTTAACTAAGTATAAATTTCTCGTTTTTCAATTTTCATATTTCTCAATTGAAAAATATGTTAAATAGGCATCAGTTTAATTATTTTTCTCTTCAATTTTATTTTTTGAAAGTTCATCTGAAAATATAAATATGAGGTAAATTGTCTACTTCATGACATGGTTATGAAGCTTGGTGAGATGATTGAGAGAATAATATATATATATATATATATATATAGTGTATATATAAGTTCTGGTTGTTCTAAATCCTAAGCAAAGCATTCCATCTTTGGGGAAAGGGTATACCTTTCTTTGTCTGTTTGTTTCTGTGCTCAAAATGCGTGCTGATGTTGATAATAGATAAATAATAATGGCATTCTGGTGGACAGTGTGGTGTTAGGTGAGGTGGGAACAACTATGGTTGGAGGAAATAGCCTTCAACCTCAACCTTTGGTTCTAAGAAACTTTGTCTCTAAGAAACTAAGTTACTAAGAAACATTGTGAACTTAAGTCACAATGAATAAGTCACTTGGTTTCACTGAGACTCAATTTCTTCACCTTTAAAGTGAGCAATAATAATAGTTAACCATACTTATATCACAGAAATTGTATGAGAGATTAAACAAGTTGTATTTTGTACATTCTAAACCAATGTGTACAGGTTAAATATTTTATGAGACATATTTTCATGATAAGGCTGCCCTCTTTGAATTCCTTGCACAAAGAGGAGCTTCAATGTTGATCATTTGCTGGTTGGTAGATAGTGGTTAAAGAACATGCATCTGCTGGTTCTCCTCATTTTCCTATCTATACATACACTTTTTTGCCTCCTAGAGATTATTTCATTTACATAGTACTCTGAGTAAATGTAGATGAGAAACACTTTACTGTATTTTCATGTTTATGGCACTAGAACACAGCATGGGACAAAAGTCAGCTTGTGATTTTTGGTAATGGTCTGCTTAGGTAGAAAGTCATGCCAGGCAAATTTTAGCATGGACCAACACATTATAGCAAATCATTTAGAAGCTCAGGGATTCAGTAAAGTGAAAAGAGAGGACTCCAAGAAATACTCTGAGATCATTTTGGAAATTCAGAATTGGATCCCATTTGCAGTAAACCTGTGCAGAATTCAAACATTCCTACATGGTTCTCAGTGTCCATTGTAAACTAAGATTTTTAATCTGGTTTGTGCTGGGAAGAAGCAGGTGTTTTTAGGGACAACTACCTTCAGATGTGGAAGTGAAGTACTTCTTTTAATGCAATTTCTTAGGCTTACTAGGGCTCAAAGTTTGTAGAGCAGATAGGAGCACAATATTATGCCAGAACTCTTAGAATTGACTTTGTGAAGCCTGAATTTGAAACAGAATTCTTACTGAGAGACATGGTCCTGATACATAGATTTTGCCCCAGTTTTCTCCCTGACCAGCTCTGTAACTTTGAATTATAACATTATATTTTTAAATTATATTCATCTTTTAACTTTTAGACATTCTGTGTGATACCTTGATTTCCTAACCTATATTCTTGGCTTTACCTGTAGTTTTCTGCATGGCATGTAGTATGAAAGCTCCTTAATACCATAGCTGGGGAAAACTTTCCTTTTCATATCTTCATCATTTGTACAATGAGAGATTTGAGTGAGATGATCTCTCCAAATGTTTTCCAGCACTGGAACTGCATGAGTCTCTGATTTGTATGTCTTTAAAGACACCACTGTGCATCTTAAACCTATCTGAGTTCCACAAGTCTGCCAGTATTTTATAGGTCTATTTTCTTGACTATCATAATAACTTATGCCAAAGCCATAAGCCAGGTTTTCTCTTTTCCCCTCAGACAGAAGCAGCATAATGTACCAGAGTGGCACACTGTGATGTTATAAAGCCCACAATCCAACTTCAGTGCAGTCACGCTGAGATGGGAAGAATGCAGCTTTCATTTAAACACACCTTAATAATGCTAGAAAGGAGCTCTATGTTATGTTTAAAATATTCTGCTGTGTTTAGCCATATCAGAGCAGGGGGCAGACTAGCAACTGGGTTTATAAAGAGGAAATGGTTTATTTCTATTTACAGTTAGGATTTTGAGAGAGACTTGCTTGAGTTATACACCAACACATAATGTACACCCACTGTGTGACAGGTACTCTTCCAAATGCTTTACATATGTGACTTCATTTAATCCTCACTAGCCTTTGAACCTAATAAAGTGACTATTTTACGATTAAAAACATTGAGACTCAGAGAGGTTAAGTGGCTTGATTAACATGGTGTTAAAGCCAGGATTCAAACCTGGTTGTGACCAGAAAACTCTTGGTCTTTCTGCTGTACCACACAGTCTGTCAACTCAGGAAACAGACTACACAAACACATCAAGCTCTTTTGTCAGGAATCAAGTACACAGATTGATGAAGCACTTTGATTAATGCAGCTAACACACCTTTCCAAAGCATCTACAAGACTTTCCAATTCCTAATAAGTATTTGAATGTTTTCCAATCTGCCTGAACCCGTTTCAACCCAAGGAGATAGTAAATAAAAGGAGCAGACTGATGAAACACTCACACTTGATATGTCTTTTTTTTTGAATGAATGAATCAATGAATAAATGATTGAGTGAGGTTCCACATGATCAAATCTCTTGCACTAGGAAAGGAGGGATGCTAGTTTATAAAAGAAGCAAAGGCACAGGAAGTTATGCACCCTTCAAAAGCACACCAATGGGCTCGTAGAACTTAGAGATATAAGAGAGCTCAATGTTCCAGGTAGGCAGGGTGAGGACTCAACTAAGAGCATCCAGTTAGTGTCAGGACTGGTCAGGAGCACAGACATCATGACTCTGAGTCCATTGCCTTTTCTTTCCTCTACTTCTCAGTCCTTCAAGACACTTTCTTAAATTACAAACTTGTTCCCCATCTCTCTTTCTTCAGAGAAATCTCCCCTTATCCAGATTATGTCCTGCAGGCACATATTCTGCCAGTGTTGGACTTGCCAGGCCTTCCATTAAAATTAATTATTGGCTGGGCGCAGTGGCTCATGCCTGTAATCCCAACACTTGGGAGGCCAAGGTGGCTGGATCCCCTGAGGTCAGGAGTTTGAGACCAGCCTGGCCAACGTGGTGAAACCCCATCTCTACTAAAAATAAAAAAATTAGCTGGGCGTGGTGGCATACGCCTGTAATCTCAGCTACTCAGGAGGCTGAGGCAAGAGAATCACTTGAACCTGGGAGGCAGAGGTTGCAGTGAGCCAAGATCACGCCATTGCACTCCAGCCTGGGTGATGAGAGAGAAACTCTATCTAAAAAAAAAAAATTAATCATGAGAATCCTTCTAATAGGTTCCTGGCTTTGTGTGCCAAGGTAGGGTTTCTTGGTGTGTTCTGAAGGCTTCCTTTGTATAGGAAACCTCAGTGTGAAAAAGTGCTCAGATTCGGGGTTCTGTGAAAGATGCTTCCTGTCCTGGTTGGATGTCACTTGCCAGAAGGCAGGAAAGAAATGGCCTGTCTGTTCACCTGTTGCTGCTCCTCATCTGGAAGTTGTGACCAGGATCTTGTTTGAAGACCTGTCCCCAGCCCCAGTCCTGACCTCTTGCTTACCAGCTATTGAGTGGCTATGAAAACATAAAGCCCCTGGAAACCAGCAAGCCACATTTTCTGAGATACTGTCCTGCCCTCCCTTTTTTATTGTTTTGAAATATTCCTCTCACCCCCCCACGTTAAAACATAACCATGTGTATTCACTCCTGAGTGACTTTCCCCCAAACTATGAATTTCAACTATTTCCGAGGCAGTCGTTCAGAATTTGAATATAATTACACTCTTTGGGTGAAAATTGTGGTTTTTGCTACATAAAAAACTAATGGAAATGATCTGCCTGTTCCTGTAGTTTACAGATTATATGCTTCAGAACTGACGATATATATTTAGGCTGCTTTTCTGTGTGGCACATTTAAATGAAAATGAACTCGGGGTGAGCCACCATGGTTGCTAGGCAATAGAGCGGGTTGATAGAGCACGGTATTAAACTGAACCCACATTGGTGTTTTACTTAACATCTATTTGCTTAGCACCTTTGTCATCTGTGGTGTCATAGAAGGGAAAGGAGGAGGAGACAGGCAGAGTCTGGTTATCTGCAGAGACTCAAACAAGTAGGAGAAATAATCATCCCAAACACCAAAGTGACATGAGCATTTTCAAAAATTTGAGGTTGCAGCACAGTCAACTCATTTAATGAAGAACATGCAAGACCTGAAGAAATGCATAAGCATAGCAGACATATTCATGGATGTGGTAGCAAGAGGAACTAAAGAGATTCCCCAGGCTGGGTTTTGCTCTGGTGGTTCCAGAAAAAAAAAAAAAAAAAAAATAGCCACCACGCTGGTTGAAAATTTTAAAAATGCGTCTATGGGTCATTTAATTTCCTGGCCTAAAATCCCAGATTTATCATGAGCAAGCGGTGATAGGCAGCAAAAGCATTGCGGCTTCTTTACAATTGATAACTAATAGAGGAACTCCAATTGCTTTGAAACCCTGGTTTTAATAAAAGCTGAAAGTCTCTTATAAGAAAACAACTGGATCACAATAAAGCAAAACCTCGTCAGACTCTTTGGGTCCATTCTAGCCACTTTCTGATACATTTAAAAGTTTGAAAAGATGATTAAAGGGTTAAAACTCAGCTGTGGGGAGAATTTGGTCTCATGAATAATTTGGGCAGAGAGAGGATCCTGTGATTTGGATAGCCAAAGTTTTATTGTTTATTTTTTCCAGGAGCCAATTATTATATATCTTTTTTCATTGAATCAATATCTCTGCATAATGGAATGGTCACCTTTGAATGTTCTCTTTTCTTAAAACAAACTTCTTAGATAAGTTAAACACAAGATGATAGGAAACCTCTATTTTCATAAGAATGACAATAACATCTACTTTGGTTTTTATTATAGCAATTGATCACTTTTTATTATGCCTAACATTTTTGCCTTTCAATATGCCTGACATTTCTATAAACGTTATAGTTCATTTAATTCTCCCATGAAGTAGGTGGAGTTGTTTTCCCATTTTTTAAGTTTTAGTTATTTATTTTAGCAGAGATGGGGTCTTGCGGTATTGTCCAGACCAGTCTCAAACTCTTGGGCTCAAGTGATCCTCCCAACTTGGTCTCTCAAAGTGCTGGGATTACTGGCATAGCCACCATGCCCAGCCCATTTTCCCACTTTAAAGAGGCAGACTCGGAGGCATGGAAAGTTTGAGTCAGTTGCCTAAGGTCTTATAGGTAATATAAGGCACAATCAGGTTGGGTATTTAAGCAGTTTGAACCTGTCCTGTTCAAACTGCTTAAATACCCAACCTGATTGTGCCTTATATTACCTATAAGTATATACTGAAATTATACTGAAAACAGTATACTGAAAACAGTACAATATTTCATAAATACTCTTAAAATTTCAGTATTTATGAAATATTACCTGAATGGTGGGAAAAAATTTCAAAGTGGTATTCTTAAATGGAATACTGGGCCATTTTTAAAAGGACCTCTTAGGGTCTACCTAGATACAGGATAAATTATGAAGACAGAATATTTTCTAAACAGGTAAACACCTACCTCATATGAGGTATTCTAACAAATACTTTAGCTTACTGCATTTAATCTTTACTGACCATCCTTCAAGGTAGGCACTATTGTTATCATGAATTTACGGGAACAGAAACTGAGCCCCAGAGGGTTAAGCAACTCACTCTAGTTCTTCCACTTACTAAGCAGTTAGCCTATAGCATCTGTTGAACTCTTAGGTCAGGTAATCTGTGCAAATGTAGAACAGTTCCCGGATACTGAAAGCAACTAATCAGAATGCTTCCCTAGATTCACAAATTCTATTACATTATAGGAGAGGCTTTTCAAAACAGCCTTTGGAAACTCACACCAGTTCCAGAATCTGCTGGCAATGAATAGTTACATCTTTACATCTTCAATCAAGGACCCAAGAGTGAGGGACCCCCTCTCCTTTGACAGGGAAGCCCATTGGTGCCTCATTCTCCTCATGTTTAATTCACTCTAAGAATCCGTTTTTTTCAGGAAGTTTCTTTTCCAGTAATTACGATAGGCTTTCTCCCCAACTTATGATTTTAGGCAAGCAACCAAACTTTCCTGATTTTAATTCTCTCACCTGAAAGACAGGGAACTGTGAGGTGGCCTGCCAGCTTTGCTTTCAAAAGTGTGGCATTCATCTTTCATTAATGCCAAAAGGCAAAATTCCAATGATTTCTAAAATACTTCCTCACCCTTATCAGATCTTATTAGATCACCTTGAATCTACTTTTAATCTTGGCCCTTCATACATATGGTAGTAGTTCTTTAAATATGAGGGTGAAACTAATGAATACGTTAAGAGGGGCAGTGGGTTTCCAACTTGAGTGAATATGTGTGTGTTTGCTTTCACATGTAGGTAAATGTGTGAACCAAAATAAACGATGTAACAGAAAACCTTCATAGCAGCCCAATTAGTTCCTAGCTTAGAATGTAAAGATCAGACATGAGAACTAAGTCTGCCGTGCATTACAGACGTAGGGAGGTTTCAGTACCTGCTTCTTACTGCTCTGGTATCATTTATCAGTGCAGTGTTGTCACAGGCTCATGTCAACATGTCAATAATAATCTCAGGAGAGGATAGCTTTTATGTGAAATAGGAAGGTAAACCTAGAGTCTTGGCCTTATACAGACAACCCCCTTCTTTGGGATGACTAGTGTTTTCATGTTTCTTGTTTTTTCCATGCCAGGGAGCCATTTTATGTGTGTGTATTGGTAACCTCATCAACTGTTAGCTATTAAAGACTGGTTAAACTAATTATTATTAAGAACTCTCTTTCAGAAAATCCTGAGATAGTTCCTTTTACTTCCCTTCACAAAGTAACTTGATATTGGTCCCTGAGAAATAGATCCACAACCTCATCACCAAGTTCTCCAGGCCCTGAGGAATGATCATGCCCCTAAAATAATGTTCTGATGAAGGACTTTCTTTGGACTCAAAATCTGCTTTGCATTTGTGGAATCATCAAATGCGAAACCTGCAAGAGGTCTTTAGAAGCCCTTTTCAATCAAGTTATTTTTCATGTGAAAAAGCTAATAGACCAGAAGTTTGTGAATAGTTTTCCCAAATCACACTTTTCAAATTAGAGGCAAGGCGAGGGCAACGTGCAAGCTTTCAGCTTCGCTGTTTAGTCTCTTTCTAGTCTCTTTCTACTGCATCACAATGTTAGCACTCAGGCTTTCCAGGTGTCATCTGTTTTGCTGTGGACTGGGAAACTGGGATTGTCTCCAGCACCACTTGGATAACAAATGAGCACAGAAGGAGCAGAGAGCAGCATGACAACCAAGATACTCCAAACACTCGCACTGTTTCCTGTAATTACCATCCAGAGAGCAGCTCCCACTCCGTGTCAGGCATGTCACCCCCTCACGGGGTCTCCTGCTTTCTCTCTGCCCCAGCAGCCTAGAGGGGAAATTCAGCATGCTGCATTTCAATCAAACTGTTTGATGAGAGCTTTTGAGCCTAATTACATGGAAGGTTTTATCCAGTGAAAAGAAAGAGGAAAGAGAAAGAGAGAAATTAAATTGAAGTATAAATCAGTCAAGAGCTTAGATCCCGCGCTTGCTTTCTTTTTAATCAAGAGTGAAATGAGAGGAGAGTTTTAAGGATCATCACAAGACACCATTAACTACCCAAGGAGCTCTTGGCTGAAGATGGTTTGTCATAAAAAGAAAAGTGTACAATCTGTCCATAAAGAGGAAGTATCTGAGGGTCGTGCTGCAGTTTAGGAGCATGACACTAAAAGGAAGGACGCTTGGTTTTTCCGTGATTATTTTATCTTTATTTCCCCTAGATACCTAGCATATTTTCTCGCACACATTAGGTGTTCTTGTTCTGTATTTTAAATCAATGACTTGGTAAATAACGTAGTGTGTTAACTCAGGTAATTATTACATAGGAAAGGGTATGTTATCAACTCATTCAATATTAGATACAACACATGAAATCAGTATTCAAAGTTTTGGCCAGTTTCCCTTTGTGGTTGATGTAGTTTGGGCATATCCCTCTAATATTACTGTTATTTATAGAATGCTTTACAGTGTTACAGAGAAAATTCACGGTAATTATTTGATCCACAGCACAGCCTTGTGTGGTAGGAGGACAGGTAGTATGATTGTTATTTATTCCATTTTTTTAAGCTGATGTAATCAAAACCAAAGAAGCATAAATGACTTGATCAGAGTCATCCAAGTATTAAGTGACAGAGCAATAACTGCTACCCAGCTTCTATTACATCACCCTGTATGACCTAGAATCTTGTACAGAATTTCTGGGTTCTTCAGTATAAGAAGGATAGGTAAACAGCAGAGAGGAGTGTTTGCAAAAGAAATGCATTGGAATTCATACTTTATTATTGAGTACTTATGATGAGCAATGCAAGGCACTGGTCCATGCTCTGAACTGGAATGTGAAACATGAGCTTTGTCCCCAAAGGCTTACAGTGTGGTTACAATTCATTAAAATGATACTTAGATCTATCCTTTCCATCTCTATTGCATTTTCAACCATATCACCTAAACAGTTGTGACAACCTCCCTTAACAGACCTTCCTTAGCTTCTGTTTTTCCCTCCTGTCCATGTTTCCCTCACCATTGGAGCCATCCATCTGAAACACCAGTCTGATCATGCCGCTCTTCCATGGGCTCTTCGTGTCATTTCCTCTGTACTCAGAACAAAGGCTGGCCCCTTATCTTTATGATCTGGCCCCTGTGTATCCCCAACTTCACCTCCTAACATATTTGACTACCTTGGCCTTCATCTTTTTCTTTTTCCTTTTTTCCCCCCTTGAATATATCAATCTTGCTACTACCATAGTGCCTTTATTTGATCAGTTCCTTTTCTCTGGGATGTTTTCATCCAGATTGCCGTATGGCCACTCCTTCTTCTTATACGTCAGGCTTCAACTTCAATGTTATCCCCTCAAGAGCCCTTCCTTAATGACCCAGTCTAAAAAGCACTCTTTTTTAGAAGGATCAAGATTATATGAAAAAATTTAAAAAAATAAAAAATAAAAAGCACTCTTTCAAATGTCTCTCCAGCATACCACCTTGTTTTGTTTTCACTGTAGCTTGAATATCTCTGTTACAGTTCCTTATGTGTGTATTGCTTCCATTAACCCACTAGAATGAAAGTTCTGAGAGCAGAGACCTTGCTGATCTTGTTCATGGCTGGACTCCCAGTACCTAAGGCAGTGACTGGCAAAGACTGAGTTTTCATAAATCTTGCTGAGTAAAGGGATGGATGAATAAATGGCATAGATGCTTCACAAATATGGGCTCCCACCTAGCATTTTAACCTCAATACTCAGTAGGCCCTTTAAAAACATCAGTTTTAGTTTGTACTTTTCCCTTGATTGAGAATCTCTCCTATTTGGTAGACTGCTACTAATTTTTCACGTTGCAGCTGACTCCATAATATCTGGTCTGCAAAGTTTTCCCTATCTCCCACTGCACAGTGAGTTTCCCAGCCTTCTGTGTTTACTTTTTTCGCTATAGAAGTTTTCTCATTGAATAACAAAAATTATTAAACATATATTCAGTCTTCTACTGTTTTCCAGGCACTGTCCAGGGTGTCAGACTCTTAAACATACATCAGATTTGGGCCTTGCCTACAAGAGGTTCACGCCTTGGTGGAAGAGCTCACTCTCATTTTATTAAACATGTAACATTGCATTGCTGTTATTTATTGATGGTGATTGTTTTCCTCATTAGGCTCTGCCTTTCTTAAGGGTAAGGAATGAGTCATTCATTTCTATATTTTGATTGGCTGACATAGTTCTTCTTTTACAAAAGGTGCTTAATGGCACTCATTAATGAAAAAATAGAGTGAGTGGGCTGAAAAGGTAAGAACATACAGTATTTTAATGCACGTTGTAGTGTGACAAACATCATGAGATAAGTAGAAACTACCGTGGGGATTTAGAGGGGAAGATGTCACAACCAATTAGGTCATTAAAAAGTGCTTCATAGCAGAAATAAACTTTATATCATGTTTTGAAGAATTATTTCCACAGGCATGCAGGAGATGGGCTGAAATATACTTGGGAAAAAAAAAAAAACCAGATGTTCCAGAATCAGTGACTCCATTTGCTGAGTTATGGGCTTGTAGAGCTCAGTTGTGAGAAGGGCTGGTGAAGGAGTTTGGGGCTCTTTGATGGAGGACGTTGAGTAATAACTATAATTATAATGGACATCTTTGGCATTTACAGTTTGCAGATCAGTAATGTAAATACTATATGACTTGTCCCTTTCAATTGCCCTGTAATTCTTTTATCATGATCACTATTTACAAGAGAAAAAAAGGGTCAAGGCTGAGAAGTTGATGCTTAAATCTTATAGGATGGTGCTGTATCTTTTCAAAATGTAAAACTGGTTTTGTAAATCCCTGGCTTAAAAAGATAAAACAAAAGCAAATAAATAAATAAATTAAGCCTCTTTCTTCACTGTTTCCAGTGCCCTCTAAATCAAGATAAAAATGTTTAATGTGGCCTAGCAGTTCCTGCGTGATCTGGCATCACTAGCATAGCACGTTTAGCCTCATCACTCAAAGGTCCTTCTGCCTTCTTGATTCCAGCGCCCTGGCCTTCTCCCAACCATTCATATTCACCACTACAGACTTGCCTTTGCTTATCCTATTTAAGCAGAATCCTCACTTCTTCCTTTGATGGTCACCTACTCAGAACTAAGAACTCTTCTTTAGTGTAGCACCTCCTCAAGGAAATCCCCCTGCCATTTCTTTGAGAAATTCAAATTCCCAGGCCATAGGTTCTCATAACCTTCTAGAACTCTCTCCTGTTGCTCATTTCACAATTCCTTTTTATACATTTGGTTGTGAGATTATTTGATTAATATCCATTTCCTAAGTAGATTCCACTGGGGTTAGACAGGGTTGTTAGAAAATAAAAATGCAAGACAGCCAATTAAATTTGTATTCAGATAAATAACTGACTTTTTAAAAGTACAGGTATGTCCCATGCAATATTTGGAATATACTTATAATTTAAAAATTTTGTTGTTTATTTGAAATTCAAAGTTAACTGGGCATCCTATATTTTATCTGGCAACCTATATTTTATCTCATCAGAGACTATATCTGTTTTTTTCTTCTAGCATAATCACTGGGGTTGTAACAAACAGGTAATCATCTAATGTTGGATGGATAAATAAAATGAGTTTAAAAAATATTCTGGCAGCGCATGTAGGCTGAATTGGAATGACAAGAGACTGAATTTGGAAGGACTCATTAGCAAACTTTGAAAATCATCAAAGGGAAAGTTAAGGACAGGGTGGTGGCATTGAGGCTAGATAGATGGAGATGTATAGAAGGAACATTTCCAAGTGGGGCTCAGAATTTGCACAGGTGTTATTGGGTAGCAACCCAGCACTGCGAGGAAGAGGCCAAAGGGCCATTTCAAATTATTAGTGATCAGGATTAAAACCAGTAACGGAGAGAAAAATAAATATAATGCCTCTCATTTATATAGTGCTTCACAACTTTTAAAGTGCTGTTTTATGTTCCCCATTATGCCCCTTGGTAGGAGAGTATTGTTTCTAAAAAGACAGCCATTTAATTATCACTTTTCTTTATAAATTCAATTACATTTCCCAGTCCATGTAGTTCATCAGTTCAGAGATGTTTGTCTTCATTTCTGTCTATTTTTTAACAGGTTTCTTTTATTTAAGTTCCTCATTTCTCAGTCCTGAATCCTTTATTTCTGAAGCACCAGGTAATTTTGTATTACGCATAACAAATCTGAAATTTATTTGTATGAGCAGATTGATTTTATATCCATCAGATTTTCTAAAAATGGGCTATAACTGGCTTATAATGACATGACCAGCCAGAGGCTAATTTCTGTGGTATTTCTTCCTGATGCCAGAATAGGTAGACAAGTCAGAAGCACCCACTTCAGATAATAAAGATATAATTCCAGTTATTCAAATTTGTGTTGAAAGCAAATCCTTTCACTGCTTATTTTTCAATTAGTGCCAAGTGTGGCTCCATGGCTTCTAGCTACAGAAGGCCAGGTGATCGAGCATTCTTAACCAGATACATGAATAGGGAGACCACGGTTCTGCAGTTGACATTTCTTCAGCTGCTCTTTCAGAGGTCTTAACATTTTTTCTCACCAGATACTTGCCTGTGAGCTGCTATTTGAAAGATAAGGTGTGCTGAGTAAATGATTAAGCAAGTGAGACAATAAGAAGCAACGTAATCTCATCAGAGACTACATCTGTTTTTTTCTTCTAGCGTAATCACTGGGGTTGTAACAAGCAGGTAATCATCTAATGTTGGATGAATAAATAAAATGAGTTTAAAAAATATTCTAGAACAGGGGAGAATTCTAGAAGGTTATGAGAACCTATGTTCTGGGAATTTGAATTTCTCAAAGAAATGGCAGGGGGATTTCCTTGAGGAGGTGCTACACTAAAGAAGAGTTCTTAGTTCTGAGTAGGTGACCATCAGAGGAAGAAGTGAGGATGCTGCTTAAATAGGATGAGCAAAGGCAAGTCTGTAGTAGTGAATATGAGTGGCTGGGAGAAGGCCAGGGGGCTGGAATCAAGAAGGCAGAAGGACCTTTGAGTGATGAGGCTAAACGTGCTATGCTAGTGATGCCAGATCACACAGGAACTGCTAGGCCACATTAAACATTTTTATCTTGATTTAGAGGGCACTGGAAACAGTGAAGAAAGAGGCTTATTTATTTATTTATTTATTTGCTTTTGTTTTATCTTTTTAAGCCAGGGATTTACAAAACCAGTTTTACATTTTGAAAAGATACAGCACCATCCTATAAGATTTAAGCATCAACTTCTCAGCCTTGACCCTTTTTTTCTCTTGTAAATAGTGATCATGATAAAAGAATCACAGCCATGTAGAGGACGAAATGTGAGCTTTTAACTCCACATACCTGAGTGTCACTGATCACTCTCTCAGTAGGTCACCCAGAGGTTAGCAAACTTTTCCTGTAAAGGAAGAGAGTAAACATTTCCAGCTTTGCAAGCAATATAGTCTCTGCCTCAACAACTACTCAACACTACCACTGTAATGTCAATGCAACTACAGACAATATGCAAACAAATGAGTGTGAGTATATCACAGTGAAACTTTATTTACAAAAACAAGACCACCTAGTCTGCAGACCCCTGCCCCCAGATTTCAGCTTCCTGTTATGAAAATGGCCATTATAAAACCTATATGGCACAGTTGTTGTGATTAAACATTTTTACATACCCAAAAAACTTAGTAAAGAATCAGGCATATTAATGAGAGTTCAGTAAATGCTAACCTGTATCATGATTATAAGTTTTAGGGCTGCAAGGAATCTTGGGTGTGACAGACAATTTTCTCCTTTCAAAAGATACCTAGATGGAGGATTCAAGAAGTATAGGGACTTAACCAGGGTTACAGGATCTATTTTCCCGCAATCCTATTTGTATACCACTTCCAGAAACCCCAAGAAATATGATGGCATGAAGCCAAGCTATATATTGCGGGATATTTGAGCATCCATTCAGCATGTATGCATTGAATGTCAGCCATGTATAAGACATTGTGCAGTATATTGCAAGTGACACAAAGATCAATAAAGTTCCTGCGTTGGAAAATCTAACAGTTTAAGTCACCCTAGTAACTATAATGAGGTGGAAAGCGACAAGTATCAAAGGAATGAGTGACCCCTACGTGCCAAGCACTATGTTGAAGTGCTTACATGTGTTGTCTCATATGATCCCCCAGCAGGTGGATTTTTAGCATTTCATCCTCAATGACATTCAAATGTTAAGTAATCTGCTCTAGGTCAAAAGTTACTAAGTGATAGAACAAAGATTTAAACTCGTTTCTCTAATTGCACAGTGTGCTTTCTACCAGACGCTGGGGAAATCCTCATACATGAAGTATGGTTTAGTTAGCTATTGCTACAAAACAAACAACACTAAAAAGTTGTGTTTAAAATGGGCATGTTATTTGCTTGTGATTCTGTGGGTCAGCAGTTTAGACTTGACTCAGCTGGGTAGCTTGGATGATCTCACATGAGGTCCCTCATATAGCTCCAGTTATCTGGCAGATAGACGGGGGATGATGATGGTCTAATATGGTCTCACACACATATCTGCCAGTTGGTTCTGGTTATTAGGCTGAGGAGCCTCACGTGATATCTCTGTGCTTTGTGACCTCTCATTTGGCTAATGTTGACTGCTTCACTTGGTGGTCTCAGGGCTGCCTCCCAGAGAGGTATATAACAGGAGCAGCAACTCTTGAGAGCTTGGAAATCATACAAGAACACTTTCGCTGTATTCTGTTGGTCAAAGCAAGTCTCAGAATCAGGCTAGATTCAATGGGCAGGGAAATAGGTGACGTGTCTTAGTGGGAGGAACAGCAACATCATACTACAAAAGGGTGAGCGTGCAAGGATGGGAGGGTTTCTTGCTGTGTTTGCCAACAATTTACCATAAAGTGATAACTGAGTTGGACCTTCACAGAAAATAAAGATTTGGGAAATAAAGACTTTGCCAGAGCAGGGATTATAAAGAAGAGCATTACTTCAGATTAGCTGAGAATGAGGCCACACGCCTATATTGCATTATTGAGGAAATTTCCTCTTGCCTTTGCTCCACAAGCACATTGCTTCTACTAGTTGCAGGGACATAATTACCAATTTCATATATATAATACTTCTAACTTTTCAGAGGATTTTTATTTCTCCTATATAACGTTTAATATGCTATATAGTTTTGTTGCATTGTTTTACTCTGCTCATTCCTTTCCTCTCTGTAAGTTGGTGTCGTCATTGCAACAAAGCCCAGGTTCCCAGCTCACTTCCCAAAAGACAATCATGTGGACTATCTGCTGTGATTGACTGTGGCTGAGTGTTTGCCCTGGCAGCTTTTTTGTTGCTGAAGATGAAAGTTTGATGGACTTTAAGATGGAAAGGAAGGAAGAGGAGAAATTTGATTTCATCGGCAGCTGTCTTACTCATCTTCATTAAGATGGGTTGTGGACACTTCAAGGCCATTCTGAACCAGTGGTCATAAAACTAATAGGTGCCACTCAACCTGCGCTGCTCGTATTATTGCCTGAGACCTGTCATCTCGGTAGTTATTGCAAAAGGAGAAGGAATCTACTGTAGGGAACACAATGGTCCTTGTGTGACAGAAGTGAAACTGAAAGAAATAGATTTTTCTATTAGCTGCAAATCAAACCCTTGCACATCATCCCTTGGAGGTGACAGTGCCTGATTCTCTAAGGCAGGGTTCAAACAAATCATTTGGGCTTGCAGAAAATAATATGAGATTAATATCCAAGTGTGTGTGTGTATGTATTTGTGGGGTGTGTGTGTGTGTGTGCGCGCGCGTGCATATATGACAACTACGTGGCTCCTCACTTGAAGTTTTGGAATTAGCTACTAATATATGTGTATGTTTAAGGGATGCATTTGTGGACTTGAAGTTGAAATAGGGAAACTGAGATGTATTCTGAAGAGGGAAGGAGAAGAGGGAATCCAGTCCTGATTAGGGGAATATTGAAATAAGTAGGTGAATAATATTCAGTCTCCCAGGTTTGTGGCTATGAGCTCTTTTCTTCCAGAAGTATTTGCTGAAGGGAGGGAAGAAAACACTCCTTTTCTTCTGACAATCAAACTTTTCAAATGTCAGCATGCATGGGTGTTTCTCTCTATTCTTGAGGCTCCTTTTTGTTTCAGTCTAACACCTCACATCCTGTGGGTTGTAATAATAATGGTAGCAGTTACCATTTATTAAGCCCTTGTCATATGCCAGGTGCTTTACATATATTACAGTGTTTGTAATCCATACAAGAATTATTACAAGATAGATATCACTATGCCCAGGTGTGTTAGTCCATTTGTGTTGCTATAAAGGAATACCGGAGGCTGGGTAATTTATTAGAAAAAGAGGTTTATTGGGCTCATGGTTTTGCAGACTGTACAAGCATGGCATCAGCATCTGCTTGGCTTCTGGTGAGGCCCCAGGAAGCTTTTACTCATGGTGGAAGGTAAAGAAAGGGCAGGTACGTCACATGGCAAGAGAGGAAGCAAGAGAGATAGGGGAGGAGTTGTCAGGCTCTTTTTAACAATCAGATCTCATGGTAACTACAGAGTGAGAGCTCAATATTTCAAGGAGGGCATGATATGGTTCGACTCTGTGTCCCCACCCAAATCTCATCTTGAATTGCAATCCCCATGTGCAGAGGGAGGGACCTAGTGGGAGGTGATTGGATCATGAGGGCAGTTTCCCCCATCCTGTTCTCATGATGGTGAGTTCTCAGGAGGTTTGATTGTTTAAAAGTGTGACCCTTCCCCTCTGTCTCACTCTCCTGCTGCCATGTAAGATATGCCTTGGTTTTCCCTCACCTTCTGCCATGATTGTAAGTTTCCTGAGGCTTCCCAAGACATATGGAACTGTGAGTCAATTATACCTCATTTCTTTATAAATTACCCAGTCTCAGGTAGTTCTTTATAGCAGTGTGGAAACAGACCACACAGACCACCAAGCCATTCATGAGGGATCTGCCCTCAGGATCCAAACACTTCCCTCCAAGCCCCACCTCCAATGTTGGGGATCACATTTCACCATGAAATTTGGAGGGGACAAACATCCAAACCGTATCAACAGGGAACTATAGCTCAGGGAGGTTAAGTAACTTACCCAACAACACACAGCTTATATGTTGCAATGTAGGAATCCAAACCCCCAAAGCTTGTGCCCTCCTACTGCGCTACCCTGCCTCTTCCAGGCTTGGGGCTTTAGGGAATGCCCTTTACAAGCAGTATAAAGACGCATTTAGGAATTTTTCAATCAGCTCTTGTCTAGATCTTCTTTGGAAAGTCTTCTTAGTTACTGGCAGGTCAAAATACCAGCTACTTGATCTAATAGTGTTATCAGCAAGAAACTAAAAATCATGAAGCAATGCAGACTTTTTGAATCAGATAGGACTTACTAGGCCATCTTGTGATTCTAATCTAACATCTTATCTGGCCACTTTTTCTGCCTTGTGCAGGAAGTGAGGTCTGGATAGGTCAAAGGGCATGACTAGAGCATTGGAGTTAATGGGAATGGGGAATGCCTTCTTTGCTTCTTGACATTTCTCCTCCACAACACTGCACATCCCTTGTGAAATAATTTACTATTTTTTAGACATCATGTCAAAGACTGAAGTGAAAGCCACCCTCTTGTGATCAACTGAGGTCAGAAGTTGGCAAATTTTTTTGTTGGGGGTGGGGGGCTAAAGGGCCAGATAATAAATATTTTTGGCTTTTCACACCAGAAAGATCTCCATTGCCACTAGTCAATTCTGCATTTATAACTGAGAAGCAACCACAGACAATAAGTAAAGAAGTGGGCAGCACTGTATCCAGTATAATATTATTTACAAAAGGCAAAGAGGGCTGGATTTGGCTTCCCAATCTCTGCCTTAGGCCTTTAAAGATATAGCTTCCCTGGGGAAATCTCTACACTTTGAGATTTATACTCCAGTACTAATAACATAGTAAGAGAATAGTAATGGTGGTGGTAATAATAGCAGTAGTGGCATCAGCAGCAACAACAATGGCACCTTTTAACATTTGCTTAATACGTTAAGGTTTACAAAGTCTTTTTACAATTATCATCTCACATAAACCTTTTAAATTCCTACTCAAGAACTACACAAGCAAGGGAAACGTGCTAGCTGAGCAGTGTGGTACAATGAAAAGAGAATGGGATATACTGCATTTAGTCATAGAGATTGGTGGTGTGGGATGAAAATGCCTAGAGAGTAGGTGTGTGTCTCCTGGCCCCATTAGGGGACAGTTCATTCAGCAGCAGGGTGAGTGTCGGAGTTCCCAAATACATGGCTGCTAATCAGTTCCCTCACTCTGTAGGCATTTTGCATTTAAAGCTGTCCAGAAAAGAGAGGCTTGGTCTAAGAGGTTGTGGTGTAAGAAAATCTCTACATTTCCACCCATTGCCTTTTGGGATCCCTGTATGTTAGTGAGCAACAGTAAAAAGTGACCTGTGTTAAAAAGGTAATGGAAGCATGGTACAATTTTAGAGTTCATTTGAGCAAACAGAGATTCATGAATTGGGCAGCTCCAAACCAGAAGTGGTATGGGGATTCCAATGAAGAAGTATGAGAACTAAGCTATTATAAAGAGAATGCAGACCTAATACAAATAAAATATTTGATTGATTACAGTTATAAAGCTGTCTTTGCTGGGAAATTCCTAGTTATGTAATTATAAGTGTGATTGGTTGAGCTTAAGTTCTGTTTGTCATTATTATAGGCATTTACAAGAAATAGCTCAAGTTAAGTTCTGCTGATGTTTGCAATTCAAGCAAGTCTAAGGCCACTTATGAGGCCTAACTGGCTCTGTCTGCTCAGGAATTCTTGCACCATTGAAGCATTCTTCAAGGTCTCCATTTTAATTTAGTTTAACACCTCTTAACACCACGCCTTCAATAACATTTATTTAACACAGGTCTTTGCTTCGTGCTAAAGGCAAACATGTATATGAGACTCTGTCCCTAAAGCATCTGTAACTCTCCAAAGACATACCCCTAGGAACATCCTGAAGATTCTGAATCTTGCAGCCTGCCAGAAGCACAGCAGTGCTGTTGGCATCTCTAGACCACTGTCTGTGATTGACTTCTGGCTCTGCTACTTGTCAGCTATGTAACCTTGGGCAAGTTTCTTTTTCTAGTCTCTTTGTCATGTTCTTCATCTGTAAAATGGGTATTTTTTAAACTACCCATTTATGTAGTCTGTGATGATTTAAGAGCTAATATGGTATGTGTAGTGGTTATTTATGAGCTAATATGTGTATATTAGCTTAATGCCTAGCATTCGTAAATACTCAGATAAATGCCAGTCATTATTATTATCATAATTGCTGGTGAAATTAACATACAAAGTCCTGTGCAAACCTTAATTTTCTCACTATGGACTTCATACATTTTCAGAATCCTAGCTACTTGGTTCTCAGAACATTCTTCTAACACCTAGAGATTCCACAGCCAATGTATCTTTGGGAACTTATTGACTAACACAGAGCTAAATGAAGTAAGCAGCATTTGTACCCTGACATTTTACAGATGGAAGGAATCATAGAGGTCATCTCAGCCAGAAACACATTTTCAAGATAGGGAACTGAGGTTCATAGAAAGTAAATGACTTTGCCAAAGTAATACACTCAGGACAGAATGAGGGCTAGAACCCCGGGGATTAGTTTTTTTCCTCTGGCCTCAAAACTCTTCCTTCTGCCATTTTTAACTTACCAATTTCACCTAATACCTTCCACATATTTTTGTGACTGTTTCAAAGATTCCACTAGCTACCATAGAAGAAGTAATGAACTAACCTTATAATTCCATCCCAGTGGCTTCACCTCACCTGCCCTCAGTTTCCTCACCTGTCCAGTGAGGCAAACTTACATTGGAAGATCCCTAAGGTGGTTCCCAGTTCAGATAAGATACAATCCTAACAAATAAAGTGGGGTCGGAGTGGAATGTTCTTGAAATCCTGGTATCAATGGGACTGGGATATTACTCTAAATCTATGGAAACTTCAAGAACAATATATTTGTTTTAACCTGAAAAGACAGTTGCGTTCCAGTGTGAAATAGCCACCAGGCTGGATGAAAATGTGTGATGTGATTCCATCATTGAAATGAGCATGTGTTGACCGTAAGTTCTTCTCTTTCTCTCTGGGGACATTTGCAGTGCTGCAGAGCTTCTCTGTGAGCTGGGATGCTCTGTCAGCTTAAATCCTTTCCAGAGTGATAAATATACATTGATTTTATTTGATTTGGCCCATAGGTGGGGGATAAAAAACAAGACATCACAGCCACACTATACTGTATATTCATTCCCCCTGAAGACAACGCACACATCCTTGTTGAAGTCTCCTCATTTAGACAACTCTTCCTTTTTATGCTTCATTATAATGCCACTTTCATGTCCCTTCCCCTCAACATCGTGCACCTTGTTCCACATCCAGCACTCTGTGTTTTTAAATTAAGGGAAATGCCATTTAAATATGGTTTTTCTCTTTGTAATATACTCACCTATAAAAAGTCTTTAAAGGTAATGCTAACTGCTTTGGCAGAAATTCAGGCATATATATAGTTATTTTAATACAAGGCTATTTGTTTGCTTGACTGTTTTTAATGACTACTCATTAACACCATGATCTTATCCTCATTTCCTCTGCACAGAGCTTGAGAGGTGCTGTTCACAGCCCCTGCTGCCTGCTTTCTGAGGTCTCCAAGATGCTAGCTTTCTACTTTTCCACTCAGCCCTGACACCTAGTTCATCATTTGAGATAAGCCCCAGTTGTCGGCAAATTGCAATCTCATCAGGTCTGCAAGATAGCATCTTGTTTGACTCTTTTCAACACCTTCCATTAACACTTTGGGACTAGGTCTTTGGGAAGAGCCAGGCCTCACCACATGGGCGATTGTGGTTGATGAACAGATTCTAGTTTTCCCCATTATTGACTTCATTAAACTTGACAGCCTTTTTAGTCTCCAGATAGGGTGAACCTTTTTTCACTGACCCTTATTAAGAGCTGTCTCCTTAAGAAGGGTCATTCGAGAAGGGATAGTGGGGGCCACTCCTTCTACTTCCAGGAAATAGCTGATTTTGGTAAACAACTTTGATTTAGTTTTTAGAGTTCTTTCACCTCCCTAATTAGGACAGCCACAATTTATCAAATGTTAGCAATGCACCAAAGCCTAAGAATGATCTTATTTCTTCCTCCTTATTCATGGGTTTTATTACTACTATCCTAATTTCCTCATATGGAAATGAGCCTCAAAAACATTAAATAAGTTACTCTAGGTCCCATATCAATAAATTGACAGAGCTGGAATTGGAATCAACTTAAGTCTGACTTCAGAGCTTAAGGTTTTAACCATCATATTCTACCACCTTCATAATACCTTTAGTTACTTTATTATATTTTAGGTTTACCCCTTGTTATTGGTCTTCAAAATCCATGAGTTCATTCTGATTTTATGAGGTGTATTGGTAATCTATTGTTTCATGAAAACTTACCCCAAAACTTAGCAGATTAAAGCAATAAACACCTATTATCTCATTCAGGCTTTGTGGGTCAAAAATTCAGGAGCAGCCTAGCTGGGCTCAGGGTCTCTTATGAAATTGTAGTCAAGATATTGGCCCAGGCTGCAGTCAGTCACCTGAAGCCTTGACTGGGCTGGAAGATGTACTTCCAAGTTTCACTCACATGCCTGGCAAGTTACTACTCATTATTGGTAGAAGGCTTTCGTTCTCCAGCAATGTCTGATCCTAATTTTATTTTACCATAGATTAGTGCAGTCTTCACATGAGGTTTCATTTCACCTCTCTTTCTCTCTCTCTCTCTTTCTCTCTTTCTTTATTTTTTTTCTCTCTCTCTCTCTTTTCCCCTGGCAGTCTTCTTTTGGTCAAGCCATTTGTATTAGTTTGCTAGGTTTGCCATATGAAAGTACCAGTGGCTTAAACAACAGAAATTTATTACAGTTGTGGAAACTAAAAGTCCGAGATCAAGGTGTCATGGAGCATTGTTTTCTCTGAGGCCTCTGTCTTTGGTTTATAAATGGTGATCTTGTCTCTCTGTCTTCACATGGACTTTCTTCTGTCTCTGTGTCCTAATCACCTCTTCATATAAGGATACTAGTCATGATTGAGGCTCATGCATCTGAGCTCATTTTCACTTACTCACCTCTTTAAAGGCCCTGTCTTCTAATACAGTCACATTCTGAGGGGTGTTAGGACTTAGGGGGTTAGGACTTCAACATATGAATGTTGAAATGAAGTAATTTGGCTCATAATACCATCTTTGTCCTTTGTATGTCTTGAGAATTTCCTTTTACACTGTCTTACCTATTACTTATGTCATTTCTCCATTCTTAACCTCTCTTTGCCTCAAGTTCCCAAAGCTATTGTGCAGCCAACTTTAAGAGTTAACTGCCTGCCTTTCTGATTGCTCGTTACACTTGAAGGACTTAGGATGCTATACCTGAAGGTCTTAGAGAGTTAGACTGGTCCTCCAAGCTTATGAATTTTCTAGAAACTTTTTAACTTGCATATGGTATTCTCCTGAAGAAGCTGTGGCTAAAGTCAGATATATTTTTATAAACTATTCTTTGATCATGTATGAGTGCCAAAAAAAGGAGTCTTTAATTACTTTGAGGGAGGGGTCTGTGCATCTTTCTTAACCCTTTTCCTGGCTGCCCTGTAGATATTCCAGAAAGATTTGATGTCTTGTGGAATGGTCTGAGAAC